>NW_018654706.1:0-166136 GCF_000001405.40 Homo sapiens | reverse complement strand
GTAATCCCCACACTTTCAGAGGCTGAAGCGAGTGGATCACCTGAGGTCAGGAGTTCAGGACCAGCCTGGCCAACATGGTGAAACCCCATCTCTATTAAAATACAAAAAAATTAGCCAGATGTGGTGGTGCATGCCTGTAATCCCAGCTTCTTGGGAGGCTGAGGCAGGAGAATTGCTTGAACCCAGGAGGCTGAGGTTGCAGTGAGCAGAGATTGCGCCATTGCACTCCAGCCTGGGCAAAACTCCGTCAAAAAAAAAAAAGAAAGAAAAAAAGAAAGAAAGAAAAGAGAGAAAGAGAGAGAAAATGAAGACAAGCCACAGATCAGAGTAAAATTGCGCAAAACATGTAACCATTACCTGGAAATATACAGAGTTATTTCAACTCAACAAGAAGACAAACAACCCAATTTGAAAAACAATTAGCAGAGACAATTTACCAAAGAGAGAAACTAAATGGATGGCAAATAACATGAAAGATGTTGGGGGAAAAAAAGGAAACGCAATGAGATTACACTACACACCCACCAGAATGGCTGAAAGGACTGGCAATACCAAGTATTAGCATGAATGTAGAGCAACAACAATTCTCATACACTGATGGTACCATTTTAAGGTGATAAAACCGCTTTGGAAACTGGTTTGGCAGGTTTTTTTTAATATCCTGATTGTGGTTATGGTTTCAAGGGTGTATGGTTATGGTTTCAAGGTTGTATAAATATATCAAAACTTGTCAAGGCTGGGTGCAGTGGCTCCTGCCTGTAATCCCAGCACTTTGGAAGGTTAAGGCAGGCAGATCGCTTGAGCTCACTAGTTCGAGACCAACCTGGACAACATGGCGAAACCCTGTCTCTACAAAAAAAAAAAAAATACAAAAATTAGTCTGGGCGCGGTGGCTCACGCCTGTAATCCCAGCACTTTGGGAGGCCGAGGCAGGTGGATCACAAGGCCAGGAGATCGAGACTATCCTGACTAACACAGTGAAACCCCATCTCTACTAAAAATACAAAAAAATTAGCCAGGCCTGGTGGCGGGCACATGTAGTCCCAGCTATTCAGGAGGCTGAGGCAGGAGAATGGCATGAACATGGGAGGCAGAGCTTGCAGTGAGCCGAGTTTGCACCACTGCACTCCAGAGCCTGGGTGACAGAGCGAGACTCTGTCTCAAAAAAAAAAAAAAAATACAAAAATTAGTCAGGTATGGTGATGGGCACCTGTAGTCCCAGCTACTTGGGAGACTTAGTTGTGAGGATAGCTTGAGCCTGGGAGGTGGAGGTTGAAATTGTTGTAACCAAGCGAGTTATAGAGAAATGCCACACTTTGAGACAAATTAAAGAGTCCTTTATTAGCCGGCAATCGAGAGGCAGCTAATGCCCAAAATTCTCTCGGCCCCGAGGAAGGGGCTAGGTTAGTTATTATACCTTGGTCTAAATAGGGGTGGGGGGCTTTTAACTGAAACAATTTTTACAGAA
This sequence comes from Homo sapiens, assembly GCF_000001405.40. Lineage (NCBI taxonomy): Eukaryota > Metazoa > Chordata > Mammalia > Primates > Hominidae > Homo > Homo sapiens. The sequence continues at coordinate 164,668 of NW_018654706.1, read as the reverse complement.
GCAGAACTGGCAAAAGGTTAAAAAATTAATTGGTTACAAATGCAGTTACAAAAAAATAAACAGTTCCAGGTGCAGGGACTTAAGCTATCACAAAGAGATAAATGCAGGGGTGTTGGGTGCCATCCACCGCGCACACCCCCAGGAACTGCTGGTGCAGCTTGCCTCACCATCTTATCAACAGGTGCATTCCTGGACATGCCTTGAGTCAGATTTACACTAGCTATGCCTGGAGGGAGGTGAAAGGGGTTACAAGTGAAGAAACTAAAATGGAGTCTGTCCGGCTCTCTTTCTGCTAGGAGAGAGTCACTCAGGTTAAAACAAGGTAGCGTATCACAAAATGAGTCAAAATCATGCCACTACACTCCAGCTTGTGTGACAGAGCAAAAGCCTGTCTAAAAAAAAAAAAAAATTCATTTTATTGCTCATCAATTATACTTCACTAAATCCGAAAAATAGTACAGTAGAAAAAATGTTTAAAAGAAAGAAAATTCATCAATGGCTTTCCAGTACCCTCAGGAAAAAGACAAAATTATTTTGCCACAGAAACTCTATTGTAGGCTGGGCGCAGTGGCTCGCGCCTGTAATCCCAGCACTTTGGGAGGCCGAGGCAGGTGGATCACCTGAGGTCAGAAGTTTGAGGCCAGCCTGGCCAACATGGTGGAACCCCGTCTCTACTAAAACTACAAAAAAATTAGCTGGGTGTAGTGGCAGGCACCTGTAATTACAGCTACTCAGGAGGCTGAGGCAGGAGAATCACTTGAACCCGGGAGGCGGAGGTTGCAGTGAGCAGAGATCACGCCACTGCACTCCAGCCTGGGCAACAAGGGTGAGATTCCGTCTCAAAAAAAAAAAAAAAAAAAAAAAAAAAGAATAGAGGTTGAGGCAGGAGAATTGCTTGAACCTGGAAGGCAGAGGTTGCAGTGAGCCGAGATCACGCCACTGCACTCCAGCTTCAGTGACAAGAGTGAGACTCTATCTCAAAAAACAAAAAACAAAACAAACGAAACTCTATTGTAGAGCTTCAATATTATCCATGGTTTCAGGGAAGAGGACTAATGGATGGCAACTTGAAATCCTAGGTAATAATAACAGTGGGAACAGTAGTAGCAGTAATAGTAGTAATAATAAAACTGCTATTTTTTCTTGAATACCTACCATGTAGCAGATATTTTGCACACATCTTAGGATTCCGTCCAGAGGCTGGGCGCAGTGGCTCACACCTGTAATCCCACCACTTTGGTAGGCCAAGGCGAGTGGATCGCCTGAGGTCAGGAGTTCGAGACCAGCCTGGCCAACATGGTGAAACCCCATCTCTACTAAAAAAATACAAAAAAAATAGCTGGGCATGGTGGTGGGTGCCAGTAATCCCAGCTACTTGGGAGGCTGAGGCAGGAGAATCGTTTGAACCCAGAAGGCGGAGATTGCAGTGAGCCAAGATCGCACCATTGCATTCCAGCCTGGGCAACAAGAGCAAAACTCCGTCTCAAAAAAAAAAAAAAAAAAAAGATTCCATCCAGAAAGTAGAACCTAAGACAGGTGTTAGTTACAGGTAATTTACTTAGAAGGTGATCCCAGGGATTTAAAGTAAAAGTCCAGAATAAAATAGGAAGAGGAAAAAAGCCAACACAAGGATGTATTAACAAAGTGTTCACTGCTGTGGGCACCTGGGGCTGGATCCTACCAAGCCCATCTGATAATTTTCTTTCTTTCTTTCTTTTTTTCTTTTTTCTTTTTTTTTAAATTGGGCAGCCTCCTGAACCAAAGCGGGCTCAGAGACTCCCCATCTGAGTTCTGTAATGCCTCTCATTATGGTCTTCCAAAAGACTGCCAGAGAAGCATTTAACCCTTGGTTTATATCCTCCATTGGTTTGGATTTCCCCAGGAGGCATCAACTTCCCTTGCACTTCTGGGTAGGCACTCACCAGTATCCTACATTATGGTTTAGGAAAAGCTCCAGAACAGAGAGAAAGATACAAGGAGAATTGAAGCCCTCACTGAATTGTTTTCAAAAGCTTTGCCCATTGGGAAGGCTGAGAGGATGGAAGGAAAGGTACAAAACCTCCCAGACCATCCCTTGCAGTGCTCAGATTCATCCATGTGCTCCATTAGATCCAGTCCATCACCTAGTTTTCAAGATAATGGCTAGCTATCATCTTGACAGAAAACTCAGTGGTGCTAAAAATTCTTTGCAAAATGTTTGTTGTCCCTTACGCCTTTTGTGCCCTATAACATACCATACTCAACCATATAGATGATTCTCACAAATAATGTTAAGTGAAAGAAGCCAGACCACAGTACTATGTTTGATTTCATGTGGATAAAATACAAGACAAGCAAAAATATTCTGTTCAAGGCCAGGATAGCAGCTACCCTTTGGGGTGAGAGAGCAGTGTCTAGAAGGGGGATGAGAGGAGATTTTGCGGGTGATACTTATCAGATATGTGATTTACAAATATGTTCTCCCAATCTGTGGCTTGTCTTTCCTTCTTCTTTATTTTATTTATTTATTTATTTTTTTGAGACAGAGTCTTGCTCTATCGCCAGGCTGGCGTGCAGTGGCGCTATCTTAGCTCACTGCAACCTATGCCTCCCAGGTTCAAGCGATTCTCCTGTCTCAGCCCTTCAGCCTCCCGAGAAGCTGGGATTACAGGTGCATGCCACCACACCCAGCTAATTTTTGTATTTTTAGTAGAGACGGGTTTCACCATGTTGGCCAGGATGGTCTCGATCTCTTGACCTCGTGATCCACCCAACTCGGCCTCCCAAAGTGCTGGGATTACAGGTGTGAGCCACTGCGACCGGCCTGTGGCTTGTCTTTTCATTCTCTTTACAGAATCTTTCACACAGCAGAATTTAAAATTTTTGAAAGCTAGGCATGGTGGCTTACACCTGTAATCCCAACACTTTGGGAGGCTGAGGCGGGCAGATCACCTGAGGTCAGGAGTTCAAGACCAGCCTGGCTAACATGGTGAAACCCCGTTTCCACTAAAAATACAAAACAATTAGCTGGGCACGGTGGCGCACGCCTGTAATCCCAACACTTTGGGAGGCTGAGGCGGGCAGATCACCTGAGGTCAGGAGTTCAAGACCAGCCTGGCTAACATGGTGAAACCCCATTTCTACTAAAAAATACAAAAAAATTAGCTGGGCGTGGTGGCGCAAGCCTATAATCCCAGCTACTCAGGAGGCTGAGGCAGGAGAATTGCTTGAACCCAGGAGGAGGAGTTTGCAGTGAGCCGAGATCGGGCCATTGCACCCCAGCTTGGGCAACAAGAGCAAAACTCCATCTCAAAAAAATAATAAATAAAATAAAAATAAATAAATAAAATATTTGAGTAAGTCCAATATTTCCATTTTTTAATCTTATGGATGGTATCATATCTAAGAAATCTTTGCCTAATCCAAGATCACAAAAATGTCCCCCTAAATTTTCTTCTATAAGTGTATAGTTTTATTTTTATTTTTATTTTTTTGATATGGAGTTTCACTGTTGTTGCCCGGCTGGAGTGCAATGGCGTGATTTCGGCTCACCGCAACCTCCACCTCCTGGGTTCAAGCGATTCTCCTGCCTCAGCCTCCAAGTAGCTGTGTTTTAGTGATCCCCAACCCTTGCCACCACCATGCCCGGCTAATTTTTTGTATGTTTAGTAGAGATGAGGTTTCACCATGTTGGTCCGGCTGGCCTCGAACTCCTGACCTTAGGTGATCCACCCACCTCGGCCTCCCACAGTACTGGGATTACAGGCATGAGCCACTGTACCTGGCCGTGTATATTTTTAGATCGCCATTTTTTAAAAGGATTATTTGGGATAGAGTCTCACTCTGTCACCAGGGCTGGAGTGCAGCAGCCGATCATGGCTCACTGCAGCCTTGACCTCCCAGGCTCGGGTGATCCTCTCACCTCAGCCTCCAAACTAGCTGGGACTACAGGTGCACACCACCATACACTGCTAATTTTTTTGTGTTTTTTGTAGAGACAGAGTTTTGCCATGTTGCCCAGGCTGGTCTTGAACTCCTGAGCTCAAGTGATTCTCCCGCCTCGTCCTCCCAAAGTGCTGGGATTACAGGCATGATCCACCACACCTGCCCATGCATATACTTTTCTATTCAGTCTAAACCTGAAAGAATACACAGCTTTCCTCTGGGGTAGGAAGATAGTGGGATTTGGGGTAAGTATGCTAGAAAGATTGACTTTTCACCGTATACCCTTTTGTGCTATTGATTTTTTTTTTTTTTTTTTGAGATGGAGTTTCACTCTTATCCCCCTAGGCTGGAGTGCAATGGCGCTATCTCGGCTCACTGCAACCTCTGCCTCCCAGGTTCAAACGATTCTCCTGCCTCAGCCTCCAGAGTAGCTGGGATTATAGGCACATGCCACCATGCCCAGCTAATTTTTTGTATTTTTAGTGGAGACGAGGTTTCACCATGTTGGCCAGGCTGGTCTCAAACTCCTGACCTCAGGTGATCCACCTGCCTCAGCCTCCCAAAGTGCTGGGATTACAGACGTGAACCACTACACCCAGCCAAATAATTTTTTAAAACGCAAACTCAAAAAGGGTTGGGAATCACTAAAATACAGTTCCACTGAACAGTTTAAAATCACCATAATGGGCCTGGACCAGCACTTTGGGAGGCCAAGGCAGAAGGCTCACTCTTTTTTTTTTTTTGAGATGGAGTCTCGCTCTGTTGCCCAGGCTGGTGTGCAGTGGCGCGATCTTGGCTCACTGCAACCTCCGCCTCCCGGTTCAAGCAATTCTCCTGCCTCAGCTTCCTGAGTAGCTGGGACTACAGGCGTCTGCCACTGCACCTGGCTAATTTTTTGTATTTTCAGTAGAGACTGGGTTTCACCATGTTAGCCAGGATGGTTTCGATCTCCTGACCTCGTGATCCTCCCGCCTTGGCCTCCCAAAGTGCTAGGATTACAGGCGTGAGCCACCACGCCCGGCCAGAAGGGTCACTCTTGAGCACAGGAGTTCAAGACTGGCCTGGGCAACACAGCAAGACTCCCATCTCTATAAAAATTAAAATAATAAAAATGAGCCAGCTGTGGTGGATGCCTACAGTCTCAGCTATTCAGGAGGCTGAGGCAGGAAAATCGCTTGAGCCCAGGAGTTCGAGGTTACAGTGAGCTATGATCGTACCATGGCACTTCAGCCTGGGCGACAAAGTGCGACCCTACATCTAAAAGAAATAAATAATAATAATAAAATAAATAAATAAAATCACCACGATGCTTGTTGGATTGGATGATTTCACTGCAGCTTCAAATCCTGAGGGTTCTCTCAAGCCTGGCAGTTCTCACTGAGCTAAGAAACTAAAAGTCACATTTATTGGCAAAGAATGGATTGGGCCCATCAGAAGATAATATGCAAATGATGAGTGTGAATTTATAGTTTCCTCTCTATAGCTTTGAACATTGCTGAATTTAGAGAAGAAACTATGAATGTTGCTGCCACCTGCCGGCCACATCTCTCAATATCAGGTTCCTGGAAGTACCTGGTGGGATTCTTCTTTCAATTGAGTCCTCTATTAGGCTCTGGATTGGAGAAAGACTGATTTACAGATTTCTCCCTTTTTGCTGTCATCATCCCATAATCTGCCACAAAACCAAATTGCTAAAAGCAGGGAGCTGTGGCATTCAATTGTCTGCATTTGAATTCTGTCTTTACCTCGGGTAAATCAGATACCTGTTCTATACCTTGGGTAAATCAGATACCTATTCTTTTTTTTTTTTTTTTTTTGAGATTGAGTTTCGCTCTTGTTGCCCAGGCTGGGGTGCAATGGTGTGATCTCGGCTCACTGAAGCCTCCGCCTCCTGGGTTCAAGCAATCCTCCTGCCTCACAGGCGCCTGCCACCATGCCCGGCTAATTTTTTGTATTTTTAGTAGAGACAGAGTTTCACCATGTTGGCCAGGCTGGTCTCTAATTCCTGGTCTCAGGTGATCTGCCTGCCTCAGCCTTCCAAAGTGCTGGGATTACAGGCGTGAGCCACCGTGCACAGCAATCAGATACCTATTCTACACTTCAGTTTCCTCATCTATAAAATGGGGATGATAACAGCAGCTCCTTTACATAGGTGTTGTGAGGATTAAATTAGATCACATAAAGCGCTTAGCACAAGGCCTGGCACACAGTGAGCACGCAACAAATATTAATGGTTATTGTCATTGTCAGGCAGAGCTTCAGAGCCTCTCTCATCCTTTTTTTTTCTCCAGCTGAATTTAAGATTCAAGGCCCTCCCATTCTAAACTGACAAATTGTACCTGGACACACAAAAGTCTATTGGAAAGACCTATAGCATCTGGTTCCACCACTTCCTGACCGTGGGCAAGCGTCTTAACCTCTCTGAACCTTACTTGACCTCACAGATGGTTTTGGAGATTACATGAAATCATCTGCGTAAAGCACCAAGACAGTGCCTGGCATGGAGTGGACAGTTAATAGGTGGAATGATGATGGAGTGATGATTAACACAGAAATACTTACCAAGTATAGCTAAAGGTTGAGCAGCACAGGTTGCAAATAGGCAGGCCATAGGCAGTCACTAACCTACAGATATTTGGCCCACAGTGATTTACATTTTAACCCCAGGAATTTTACATTCAAGTCTGAATTCTTAATTTCTCTTTTAAAATGTGAAGATCTGCCGGGTGCAGTGGCTCACGCCTGTAATCCCAGCACTTTGGGAGGCCGAGGCGGGCGGATCACCTGAGGTCAGGCGTTCGAGACCAGCCTGACCAACACGCAGAAATCCCGTCTCTACTAAAAATACAAAATTAGCTGGGCGTGGTGGAGCATGCCTGTAATCCCAGCTACTCCGGAGGCTGAGGCAGGAGAATCGCTTGAACCCGGGAGGCGGAGGTTGCGGTGACCTGAGATCGCACCACTGCACTTCAGGCTGGGCAAAAAGAGCTAAACTCCGTCTCTGGGCCGGGCGCAGTGGCTCACGCCTATAATCTCAGCACTTTGGGAGGCTGAGACGAGGGGATTGCTTGAGTCCAGGAGTTTGAGACCAGCCTGGGTCAACATGGCGAAACCTCGGTCTCTACTAAAAATACAAAAAATTAGCCGGGTGTGGTGGCACGCATCTGTAGTACCAGCTACTTGGGAGGCTGAGGTGGGAGAATCATCTGAAGCGTGAGAGGTCGAAGCTGCAGTGAGCCGAGATCGCACCACTGCATTCCAGCCTGGGCAACCAGAGTGAGACCCTGTCTCAAAAAAGATTTTTTTTTATTTTTATTATGTTTTAATTTTATTTTATATTTTATTTTATTATTTTATTTTATTTTATTTTTAATTTATTTTAATCTGTGAGAGGGAGTCTCGCTCTGTCCCCCAGGCTGGAATGCAGTGGCACCATCTCTGCTTACTGCAAGCTCCGCCTCCCAGGTTCATGCCATTCTCCTGCCTCAGCCTCCCGAGTAGCTGGGACTACAGGCGCCCGCCACCATGCCCGGCTAATTTTTTGTATTTTTATTTTTATTTATTTTTATTTTTTATTTTTTTTGGAGACGGAGTCTCGCTCTGTGGCCCCGGCTGGAGTGCAGTGGCAAGATCTTGGCTCACTGCAAGCTCCACCTCCCGGGTTCACGCCATTCTCCTGCCTCAGCTTCCCGAGTAGCTGGGACTACAGGCGCCCGCCACCACGCCCAGCTAATTTTTTTTTGTATTTTTAGTAGAGACGGGGTTTCACCGTGTTAGCCAGGATGGTCTCCATCTCCTGACCTCGTGGTGCGCCCGCCTCGGCCTCCCAAAGTGCTGGGATTACAGGCGTGAGCCACTGCGCCTGGCTTTTGTATTTTTAGTAGAGACGGGGTTTCACCGTGTTAGCCGGGATGGTCTTGATCTCCTGACCTCGTGATCCACCCGCCTCGGACTCCCAGAGTGTTGGGATTACAGGCGTGAGCCACCGTGCCCCCGGCCAAATTATTTATTTGTTTATTTATTTTTGAGACGGAGTCTGGCCCTGTCGCTCAGGCTGGAATGCAGTGGTGGATCTCGGCTCACTGCAACCTCCGCCTCCCAGGTTCAAGCAATTCTCCTGCCTCAGCCTCCTGAGCAGCTGGGACTACAGGCACACCCCATCACACCCGGCTAATTTTGGTTTTTGGTTTTTTATTTTGTAGAGAGAGGGTTTTACCATGTCGGGCAGGCTGGTCTCGAACTCCTGGCCTCTGGTGATCCGCCTGCCTAGGCCTCCCAAAGTGCTGGGATTAAAGGTGTGAGCCACTATGCCCAGCCTGGAAACAATTTTTGTAAATTAAGAAATAAATAAGGCCGGGCGTGGTGGCTCATGCCTGTAATCCCAGCACTTTGGGAGGCCAAGGCAGGTGGATCACCTGAAGTCAGGAGTTCGAGACCAGCCTGGCCTACATGGTGAAACCCTGTCTCTATTAAAAATACAAAAATTAGCCGGATGCGGTAGCGCGTGCCTGTAATCCCAGCTACTCAGGAGGTTGAGGGAGGAGAATCGCTTGAACCCGGGAGGCGGAGGTTGCAGTGAGCCGAGATTGCACCACTGCACTCCACCGTGGGCGACAGAGCAAGACTCTGTCTCAAAAGAAAAGAAAAGACAAGAAAAGAATTAAATAAAATACAATAAAGTGTGAAGTCCTGACAGTGTATTACACTGATCTATACGGAAGGTGGCATATAACAGAGAAACCTAATTTCTTCCAAGGAAGCTAAGTAATGCTCCCTGAAGAAGTGCTGCTAAAGCTGAAACAGGAGTTGACTGGGGGTGAATCCGATAAAGAGGTGGGGATGCTGCTCCAAGCGTAAGGACTGTTGGGTCCAAAGGCCTTGGTCAGGGAGATTCGTGCCTCTGGGAAACCTCAGGGTAGCCAGGTGGCCGGAGCACAGTGAGCAAGACAGCAGGAAGAAGATGAGGCTTCCATTAGCATCTTAAGGATTTTGGTCTTTATCATGAGGACAAATGTATTTCAAAGCTAAAAGCTGGGAGGTAGCCAATTGGTGTAACAAACTGAGGAGCTAGACAGAAATAGAAGGGAGAAAGGTCAGGGGTCAATAATAGCTGAGAAGGCAGAGAAGCACAAGGATAGTATGGAATCTAGAAACTGGGGGCACGCAGGACAGCATTTCAGGTGTGGTCTGGCAAAAGGCAGACTTTACGGCAACCAAGTTAAGTGGGACACCAGGATGAATATCTTATGTTCATTTAAATAGTGGAAAAATGAGAAGAACAGACATTTCGTCAAGGGCATATCACAAGTGAGATACAGAGCTAGATTCACAATACCTATCTTAATTTGTTGCTCTTCCCATTAGTTTTCTCAAGGCAAGTAAACTCAGTACAATACTCTGTTGTTAATACTACTAACAAATCTCATTTATTAAGAGTTTGCTAAATGTTGGGCTCTGTATTTATGTGCATTATTATCTTGTTTTTTTCACAGAGTTAACGAGAACAGTCCACCCAAAATATTATGAACCAAGAGACTATTAGACATTGGAGACAGGAATAAATGAAACAGACACTATCCCTCTCCTTTGGGAATTCACAGTTCAGAAAGGAAGGGAATAGTTTAAGAAGTAATTATAGGCCGGGCACAGTGGCTCATGTCTGTAATCCCAGCACTTTGGGAAGCAGAGGCAGGTGGATCACCTGAGGTCAGGAGATCGAGACCAGCCTGGCCAACACGGTGAAAACCCGTTTCTAATAAAAATACAAAAAAACTTAGCCGGGTGTGGTGGCAGGTGCCTGTAATACCAGCTACTTGGGAGGCTGAGGCCGGAGAATTGCTTGAACCCAGGAGGCAGAGGTTGCAGTGAGCTGGGATCTCGCCATTGCACTCCAGCCTGAGCAACAGAGCAAGACTATTTCCACAAAAAAAAAAAAAAAAAAAAAAAAAAAAAAGAAAGTAATTATAAAGAGTAATTGACAGGTGCTACAGGGAGAGTATAACAGTGAACCCAACCTACCATGGGCGGCAGGGAAGGCATTCTGGAAGAAGTGACAGTCAAGCTGAAAAATCGGGGGAATTAACAAGGTGAAACATGGAGGCCAGGCAGGGTAGCTCAAGCCTGTAATCCCAGTACTTTGGGAGGCCGAGGCCGGTGGATCACTTGAGGTCAGGAGTTCGAGACCAGACTGGCCAACATGGTGAAACCCTGACTCTACTAAAAATACAAAAATTAGCTGGGCAGTAGTGGCACGTGACTGTAATCCCAGCTACTTGGGAGGCTGAGGCAGGAAAATCCCCTTGAGCCTGGGAGGCGGAGGTTGCCATGAGCTGAGATCACACCACTGCACTCCAGTCTGGGTGACAGAGTGAGACCCTGTCTCAAAAAAAAAAAAGAAAAAAAGAAAAAAAGATAATTTCAAAAAATAAATAAAAATACAAAAATTAGCTGGGCATGGTGACACATGCCTATAATCCTAGCTACTTGGGAGGCTGAGGCAGGAGAATAGCTTGAGCCTGGGAGGCGATGGTTGCATTGAGCCAAGATCAAGTCACTTCACTCCAGCCTGGGCGACAGAGCGAGACCCTGTCTCTCTGTCTCTCTCTCTCTCTCTCACACACACACACACACACACACACAAAATCCAAACATGGGGTTTCACCCTTCATGAAACGAGTGTTTCAGGCAAAGAGAACAGCAGTTGGAAGGCACTATTCTCACAATAACTTCATTAAATAGATTCTATTATTATTCCCTTCTCACAGATAAGAAAACTGAAACTCAGAGATTAAGTAACTGACCCACTAGGTGATATTGAAGCCAGGATGTAAGCCTCTATCTACCTAGACTAGAGCTCATTCTTTTAGTTGCTAAACCAGATATTTCTATTAGTTTGCCCTTTCTTTCTAAGGATCATGTGAGTGGAATGGGATTATTAATTGAGATGTCTGCAATGCAGGAAGTTGAAATCGTGGCTTACAAACTATGCAAGCATGTCTGTGTCATTGTTGTCTGTAAATTTTGCAATGACAGCTATTTAGTGACACAGCTCTTGTGCTAATGTCTGAATGGATATTCATTTCAATTTAATATGATTCAACAGCTATGTACTGAGTGCCTACTACGTGCCAGGCATGATGCCAGGCATGGTGCCAGGCCTTGTCAGTTACCAAGATGATGAGACAAGTTCCTAGGTACTAGGCTAAAGATCGTGTTAATCACTAACAATTTTTAAAAAATAAATAACAAAGCCATAACCCTAGCAGTTGGAAACTGTAGGTAACTTATTGCAATAGCTATAGGTTTGAGCATCAACCATGTGCCAAGCACTGCATGAAGTACCTTAATGAAAATTTAAATGGTCATGATCGGCCGGGCATGATGGCTCAAGCCTGTAATTCCAGCACTTTGGGAGGCTGAGGCAGGCAGATCACCTGGGGTCAGGAGTTTTGAGACCAGCCTGGCCAACATGGTGAAAGCCTGTCTCCACTAAAAATACGGAAAAAAAAATAAAAAAGCTGGGCGTGGTGGCATGTGCCTGTAGTCCTAGCTGCTCAGGAGGCTGAGGCAGGAGAATTGCTTGAGCCTAGGAGGCGGAGGTTGCAGTGAGCTGAGATTGCACCACTATACCCCAGCCTGGGCAACAGAGAGTCTCCCATCTAAAAAAAAAAAAAGATCATGATCATAGCTAAAAATTAAAAGTGCTTACTCTGAGCTCTGTGTTAAGCAGTTTACATTATTATCTCCTTTAACTCTCATGTTCATTCCAAAAGGCTGATATCATAGTTTAATTATATTATTATTTCTCATTTTACAGGTAAGGAAATGAGCTTTGGAGATTTTTGCCTGAGATCCCAGAGACAATAAAATAGAAGAACTAGAGTTCAAACCCAGATATTCCTGACTCCAAATGTGAGCTCTAGACAATTACACCACACTACCTCTGTAAGGAGGGTCAGCTAGTCAAAAATCAGGGGAATGTGGAATTCTATGTAGCTAAGCACACATCCAGAAAGGAAAAATAAATATTGGTGCTTTTAAAACCCTCCAAGAAAGTAAAGAACTTCATTCTATCATTTAATTCTGCCAAAATTTGCCTCTAGAATTATCTTTAAATTTAATTAATAACTGAAGTTTAGAATCCTTGGTATCAAGATATACTTCCTTTAATTCTTGTTTTATACACATGCAGGAAGGAAAATGAACTATTTTGCAAAAATCAGTGTCAGACAAAAAAGTGACCCCATTAAGAATGTGGTACAAGCTGTACCACACTGCTGTGCTTTGTAAACTACAAGGGAAAAAATAATTCCACAGGAGGCAACCATCAGCCCTGGGCAGTATGAACATCCTGTCTCCATGATTACTTGTGGCTATCAGCAGGGAGGTATGCAGTCTTGTTCCATATGTTCAGATATGGCCACAGGTGAAATCTGTGTGCCTAAGGAAGTGCACAGAATTGGCTCTGTGACACATGAACCAGGAAGATCAATGTTGTGTCCAGACATATAGATGTTTGTGTCTCCATCTGCATACCGGTCCTTTGTCTCAACATAAAAATGCAGGAAAATAAACTAATACTTATTGAGTACCACTTAGTATATGTTGTATTATTATCTCAACAATTCATTTAATATTGTAGAAACTGGAGTTCAGACAGGTAGAATTTCTATCACAGCAACCATAACAAATTACTTATTATATATTATTACTAAAACAACAATGATAGCATCCATTAATTGAGTGCATATTGTGTGCCAGGCACTGTGCAGGGCATTCCCCATTATTTCACTTAATCCTCATGACAACCCTGTGATATGAGGACAATTACCCATTTTACAGAAAAAGAAACAGACACATATGATGTTAAGCAATTTTCCAAGGTCACATGGTTAGCAAGTAGCATCTGTTTGTGTCTGTCCCCCCAACAATTAGTGTAAATTTCTTAAGGGCAAGGACTATGTATTTTTCTTTTTTCTTTTTCTTTTTCTTTTTTTTTTTTTTTGAGCAGAGTTTCACTCTTGTAGCCCAGGCTGAAGTGCAATGGTGCAATCTTGGCTCACTGCAACCTCCACCTCCCAGGTTCAAGCGATTCTCCAGCCTCAGCCTCCCAAGTAGCTGGGATTACAGGCACCCACCACCACGCCCAGCTAATTTTTTGTATTTTTGGTAGAGATGGGGTTTCACTATGTTGGCCAGGCTGGTCTCGAACTCCTGACCTCAGGTGATCCACCCGCCTCGACTTCTCAAAGTGTTGGGATTACAGGCATGAGCCACCATGCCCGGCCAAGGACTGTGTATTTTTCAAGTCTGTATTTCTAGGCCCTAACACTGCTTGGCACAGAGTAGAGATAATTCTATAAATATTTTTGAATAAATTAGTGAAAAACAAACAATAACTCCCAAGATAAGGGGCAGAGCCATGATTGGGATTTAGGTGTTCTTTTTTCTTCTTCTTCTTTTTATTTTTTGAAACAGATTCTCACTCTGTTGCCTAGACTGGAGTGTAGTGGCGTGATCTCGGCTCACTGTAACCTCTGCCTCCTGGGTTCAAGCAATTCTCGTGCCTCAGCCTCCTGAGTAGCTGGGATTACAGGCATGTGCCACCATGCCTGGCTAATTTTTGTATTTTTAGTAGAGACAGGGTTTTGCCAGTTTCCTAGATTGGTCTCAAACTCCTGGGGTCAAGTGATCCCGTATTTACATATTGCCTGCCCAAATCAGGGTCCTAATTAATGACTCACATGCCTGTTTCACAATGGAAACTTCTATTAGACATTTTCCATACGAGTAGAATGGAGTGATTCTACCTCCAGGTCTTTATGTTGCAGAAATACTAGCATAATATATAAAGATGTTTTACCAGGGTGTCTACTATTGATATTTCAGAAAAAAGTTCTTTTTTTTTTTTTTTAAATTAAAGAAAAAGGCCAGGCGCAGTGGCTCACACCTGTAATCCCAGTGCTTTGGGAGGCCGAGGTCAGAGGATTGCTTGAGCCCAGAAGTTTGAAACTAGCCTGGGCAACAAGTGAGACCCCCCCATCTCTATTTGTTAAAAAAAAATTAAAAAGAAAAGAAAAACTATGAAAGATATCCATTAATGGAGGAATGATTAATAGTACATATATTCTATAAAATATCATATATGGGTGCAGCACACCAACATGGCACATGTATACATATGTAACAAACCTGCACGTTGTGCACATGTACCCTAAAACTTAAAGTATAATAATAATAAAATTTAAAAAAAAGCAAAACATAACTTGAAGTAAAAAAATATATATATCATATAACTTTAATGAGAGTAAGGTAGCTCTACTTATACTGATGTAGAAGAATGGCTAGAAGATTGCATTATGTGGAATAAACAGGTTTCAGAATGTTAACTATGGTTTAGTGTGCATAATAGTAATCATGTCTTCAGTGTTTTTGTTGTTGTTGAGATGGAGTCTCACTCTGTCGCCCAGGCTGGAGTACAGTGGTGCGATCTTGGCTCAGTGCAACCTCCACCTCCTAGGTTCAAGCGATTCTCCTGCCTCAGCCTCCTGAGTAGCTGGGATTACAGGTGTGCGCCACCATGCCTGGCTAATTTTTGTAGTTTTAGTAGAGACAGAGTTTCACCATGTTTGTCAGGCTGGTCTTGAACTCCTGACCTCAGGTGATCCGCCTGCCTTGGCCTCCCAAAGTGCTGGGAATACAAGTGTAAGCCACCATGCCCAGCCCTAAAATAGTGTTTATTGAATGCTTACGATATACTTGGACCTCTGCTAAGCATTTTGACTTCATAGACAAAAAAAAGTAGGAAAAATGTGTCTCTCAAAATCAAAAATTGCATTTTGTGGATGGGGAAATTGGGAAGATGTTACTCAAAGGATACAAAATTTCAGTTAGACATGAGGAATAAGTTTAAGAGATTTATTGAACAACATGGTAACTATAGTTAATAACAGCATATTGGCCCAGCACAGTGACTCATGCCTATAATCCCAACACTTTGGGAGGCTGAGGTGGGAGAACTGCTTGAGCCCAAGAGTTTGAGACCAGCCTAGGTAACAAAGTGAGACCCCATCTCTACAAAAATTTTTTTAAATGACCTGGGTTTGGTGGCTAGTGCCTGTGGTCCCAGCTACATGGGAAGCTGAGGCGGGAGGATCACTTGAGCCCAGGAGGTCGAGGCTGCAGTGGGCCGTATTTGTAATGATGGGGCAGTAAATGCAATAGAATGTTCCAGGTAGGGCCGGGCGTGGTGGCTCACGCCTGTAATCTCTCAGCACTTTGGGAGGCCGAGGTGGGCGGATCATGAGGTCAGGAGATTGAGACCATCCTGGCTAACAGTGAAACCCCGTCTCTACTAAAAATACAAAAAATTAGCCAGGCGTGGTGGCGAGCGCATGTAGTGCCAGCTACTCGGGAAGCTGAGGCAGGAGAATGGCGTGAACCCGGGAGGCGGAGCTTGCAGTGAGCCGAGATTGCGCCACTGCACTCCAGCCTGGGGGACAGAGGGAGACTCCCTCTCAAAAAAAAAAAAAAAAAAAGAATGTTCCAGGTAGAAAAAAAGATGAGTAGGAATAAGCCTGGCAGGCCCAAGAATACTGCATCTGGGCCAGAAATGAGAAAGTGAAGTAGTCAGATATACTCAGGAATTAACATACCTTTGGTAACCCTGGAAGTAGGGGTGAAGTGCAGCTGAAACCACAAGGACTGGTGGAAGACCTAGTTCACTTCCCCCACTGCAGCCTCTCGGCAAAAGTACAGAGGTTTATTCTCTTGAGAGAGTAAAACAGACAATCTCTGGAATAAGGGTCAGCAGGCACAGCTAATGGCCCTATTTCAAAAAAGGGGAATTAGGATTTGGTTGGCTTTTCCCGCACTCTGCTCCCAGAATGCTGGGCAAATGAGTCTTCTTCTTTGGGGAAAATGAAGCCAAACATGAAAGATCTAAAGATAATGGCACTGGGATCTCAAAACAGCTCTTCATGATCAATGACCTAAGGGACACTGGCTCATAGACAAATGACCTAATGGCTGGTGTCTCCCATCTTCATGCACAGAACTTCCAATCAGCTTTTAGTCCCCAACTTTTATTCATGGGCAGGATGCCAAGGGTTACCAAACACAAGGCTTTCCTCTAAGAGAAAAGATAGAGACCAAAACGAAAGAAACTTGTGAGACGCGCCAAGGCGTCGATAGCGACGGCATCTCCAGCCGGGCCTCAGAGATGGTAGCACCTCCCCCAGCAGACCGTTGCAGTCAGCCAGGCCCCTTCCCCACGGTAACCATGTGTGACCGAAAGACTGTGATAAAAAATCGCAGACATGTCGGAAGAGACAACAGGACTCGGCGGAGTGTGTGACTCAGGCGCTGGAGAAATATAACATAGAGAAGGACATTGCAGCTCATACCAAGAAGTAATTTGACAAGTAAAATCCCATCTGGCATTGCATCGTGGGGAGGAATTTCGCTAGTTACATGACACAGGAAACTTGGTCCGGAATTGGTGAGTTCTTGGTCTCACTGACTTCAAGAATGAAGCCGCGGACCCTCGCGGTGAGTGTTACAGTTCTTAAAGGCGGCGTGTCCGGAGTTTGTTCCTTCTGATATTCGGATGTGTTCAGAGTTTCTTCCTTCTGGTGGGGTTCGTGGTCTCGCTGGCTCAGGAGAGTGAAGCTGCAGACCTTCGCGGTGAGTGTGCTCATAAAGGCAGTGTGGACCCAAAGAGTGAGCAGCAGCAAGATTTATTGCAAAGAGCGAAAGATCAAAGCTTGCACAACGTGAAAACGGACTCGAAGGGGTTGCCGCTGCTAGCTCGGGCAGCCTGCTTTTATTCTCTTATCTGGCCCCACCCACATCCTGCTGATTGGTAGAGCCGAGTGGTCTGTTTTGACAGGGCGCTGATTGGTGCGTTTACAATCCCTGAGCTAGACACAAAGGTTCTCCACTTCCCCACCAGACTCAAGAGGCCAGCTGGCTTCACCCAGCGGATCCCGCACTGGGGCTGCAGGTGGAACTGCCTGCCAGTTCCATGCTGTGCGCCCGCACTGCTCAGCCCTTGGGTGGTCGATGGGAGTGGGCTCCGGGGAGCAGGAGGCAGCGCTTGTCGGGGAGGTTTGGGCCGCACAGGAGCCCATGGACGTGGGGGGAGGCTCAGGCATGGCGGGCTGCAGGTCCCGAGCCCTGCCCGGCGGGAAGGCAGCTAAGGCCCGGCGAGAAATTGAGCACAGCAGCTGCTGGCCCAGGTGCTAAGCCCCTCACTGCCTGGGGCTGGCGGGGCCGGCCGTCGGCTCCGAGTGCGGGGTCCGCCGAGCCCACGCCCACCCGGAACTTGTGCTGGCCCGCAAGCACCAAGCGCAGCCCCAGTTCCCGCCCGCGCCTCTCCCTCCACACCTCCCCGCAATCTGAGGGAGCCGGCTCTGGCCTTGGCCAGCCCAGAAAGGGGCTCCCACAGTGCAGTGGCGGGCTGAAGGGCTCCTCAAGTGCCGCCAAAGTGGGAGCCCAGGCAGAGGAGGCACGGAGAGCGAGCGAGGGCTGTGAGGGCTGCCAGCATGCTGTCATCTCTAAAAACCAAATACTTCATCTACTTTTTTCTTTTTTTTTCTGAGATGGAGTCTTGCTCCATAGCCCAGAGCTGGAGTGCAATGGCGCAATCTTGGCTCACTGCAACCTCCACCTCCCGGGTTCAAGCAATTCTCCTGCCTCAGCCTCCTGAGTAGCTGGGATTACAGGCATGCGCCATCATGCCCGGCTGATTTTGTATTTTAAGTAGAGACAGAGTTTCACCATGTTGGCCAGGCTGGTCTTGAACTCCTGACCTCTGGTGATCCGCCCGCCTCGGCCTCCCAAAGTGCTGGGATGACAGGCGTGAGCTACCACGCCCAGCCACTTCATCTGCTTTTACCTGGGCCAAATGGCCATTCTTCTGTTCAAATCTGTTTAAAAGCATGGACTGTGCCACACACCCAGTATCCATCCAAAAACAAGGACTGCACCCTAAATTCCAAATACCAGAGACTGAAATTTTCAGCCTTGCTAAGGGAACACCTCGGTCTTTGAACCTTTATTGTGTTTTGTACAGGGCATTCTCTGTACTAGTTTGTTGTGATTATAAAACACTTAGCAAAATTTAAAAAAGGAAGAAAGAAACTTGTAGGAAATTGAGACAATGCAGAGAGAAAGCTTTTTCTTAATTTATTTTAATTAAATATTTATTTATGGCCGGGCGCAGTGGCTCACGCCTGTAATCCCAGCACTTTGGGAGGCTGAGGGAGGCTAATCACTTGAGGTCAGGAGTTCAAGACTAGCCTTGTCAACATGGTGAAACCCCGTCTCCACTAAAAAATACAAAAATTAGCCGGGCATGGTGGTGGTCACCTGTAATCCCAGCTACTCGGGAGGCTGAGGCAGGAGAATCGCTTGAACCCAGGAGGCAGAGGTTTCAGTGAGCCAAAATCGCACCACTGCACTCCAGCCTGGCAACAGAGACTGTCTAAAAAAAAAAGTTGAGGAGATATCATAAAATAATTTAAAATATTTTCCACAAATTTCCAGATTGAAAGGGCCCACTGTGTGCCTAGCACAATGAATGAGAATAAACCTATATCATGACTCACCACTGACATGTCAGGACCTGCAGACAAAGACAAGATTCTATCAGTTTCCAAACAGAAAAGATACAAGTCCCACATAGCAGATCAGAGATCAGAATGGCTTTAGACCTCTCAATGGCAACACTTGAAGTAAAAGAAGGGAGGAATGCCTTCAAAATTCCGAAAGGTGATGATTTCCAACCTAGGATTCTGTACCTTGTTAAAACATTAACATCAGCCGGGCACGGTGGCTCACGCCTTGTAATCCCAGCACTTTGGGAGGCCAAGGCGGGCGGATCACAAGGTCAGGAGATTGAGACCATCCTGGCTAACACGGTGAAACCCCGTCTCTACTAAAAATACAAAAAATTAGCCGGGCGTCGTGGCCGGCGCCTGTAGTCCCAGCTACTCAGGAGGCTGAGGCAGGAGAATGGCGTCAACCTGGGAGGCGGAGCTTGCAGTGAGCCGAGATGGCGCCACTGCACTCCAGCCTGGGCTAGAGTGCGAGACTCAAAAAAAAAAAAAAAAAAAAAAAAAAAAATTAACACCATCGTTCAAACATGTGGGTAAAGACATAATCAGATATACAAGATCTAAACATTTTTACCTCTGATGCATCATTTCACAAGAAACTACTGGCAGATATGGTCTACCAAAACCGGAGGGCAAACAAAGATACAGTTCAGGTAACTTTAGATAAAATTCTGGAAACAGGAAATGGGAAAGTCAATACAGGAGAAAAGCAAAAGGAATCCTCAAGAGGAGGGAGGGGCTGGGTGTAGTGACTCATGCCTGTAATCCCAGCACTTTGGGAGGCGGAGGTGGGTGGATCACGAGGTCAGGAGCTCGAGACCATCCTAGCTAACAAGGTGTAACCCCATCTCTACTAAAAATACAAAAAATTAGCTGGGCATGGTGGCATGTGCCTGTAGTCCCACCTACTTGGGAGGCTGAGGCAGGAGAATCGCTTGAACCCGGGAGGTGGATGTTGCAGTGAGCTGAGATCATGCCACTGCACTCCAACCTGGGTGACAGAGCGAGACTCTGTCTCAAACAAACTAAAAAGGCCGGGCGCGGTGGCTCACGCCTGTAATCCCAGCACTTTAGGAGGCGGAGGCGGGTGGATCATGAGGTCAGGAGTTCGAGACCAGTCTGGCCAAGATGGTGAAACCCCGTCTCTACTAAAAATACAAAAATTAGCCGGGTGCTGTGGTGGCCGCCTGTAATCTGAGCTACTCGGGCAGGAAAATCGCTTGAACCCAGGAGGTGGAGGTTGCAGTGAGCCAAGAGTGCGCCACTGCACTCTAGTCTGGGCAACAGAGCAAGACTTCCATCTCAAAAAAAAAAAGGTAGTAATACTACAACTTCTGGTCTAGCGCAACCGTTGCCATCCACTCGCCACACCAATATCCTCCCCGCAGGAGGCCACTAGGATAATCTAGGGTCTCCAAAAGAAGATGGGCTTCCTGGTATTGAGAGGAGGAAAATGTTATACTTTAAAAAGGAAGCAAAGACATCACAAGCAAATGTAACATGTTGACCTTGAGTGGATCCTGACTCAAACAAACCATAAAAAGACATTTTTAGGCCAACAGTGGTGGCTCACGCCTGTAATCCCAGCACTGTGGGAGGCTGAGGCAGGCGGATAACCTGAGGTTGGGAGTTCAAGACCAGCCTGACCAACATCGAGAAACCCCATCTCTACTAAAGATACAAAACATTAGCTGGGGATGGTGGCACATGCCTGTAATCCCAGCTACTACTACTTGGGAGGCTGAGGCAGGAGAATCGCTTGAACCCGGGAGGCAGAGATTGCGGTGAGCCGAAATCTTCCCATTGTACTCCAGCCTGGGCAATAAGAGCTAAACTCTGTCTCGAAAAAAAAAATACATTTTTGAGGCAATTATGGAACTGCGAATAATAATTGGGTATCATGTGATATTAGGAAACTGTTGGCCAGATGAGGTGGCTCATGCTTGTAATCCCAGAATTTGGGGAGGCTGAGGAGGGAGGATCGCTGGAGCCCAGGAGTTCGAAACCAGCTTGGTCAACAAAGCCAGACCCTGTCTCTACAGAAAAATTTAAATACTAGTTGGCATGGTGGCATGCACCTGTAGTTCCAACTACTCGAGAGGCTGAAGTGGAAGGATTGCTTGGGCCCAGTTTCCTAATATCACATGATACCCAATTATTATTCACAGTTCCATAATTGCCTCAAAAATGTATTTTTTTTTTCGAGACAGAGTTTAGCTCTTATTGCTCAGGCTGGAGTACAATGGGAAGATCTCGGCTCACCGCAACCTCTGCCTCCCGGGTTCAAGCGATTCTCCTGCCTCAGCCTCCCAAGTAGTAGTAGCTGGGATTACAGGCATGTGCCACCATCCCCAGCTAATTTTTTGTATCTTTAGTAGAGATGGGGTTTCTCAATGTTGGTCAGGCTGGTCTTGAACTCCCAGCCTCAGGAGGTAGAGGCTACAGTAAGCCATGATCACACCACTGCACTCCAGCCTGGGCCAGAGAGTAGGACCCTGTCTCAACCCTCTTCCGCAAAAACATACAAAGAAACAAAACTCATAGCCGGGCGCGGTGGCTCACACCTGTAATCCCAGCACTTTGGGAGGCCGAGGTGGGCAGATCACCTGAGGTCAGGAGTTCGAGACCAGCCTCAACATGGAGAAACCCCATCTCTACTAAAAATACAAAAAATTAGCTGGGCGTGGTGGTGCATGCCTGTAATCCCAGCTACTCGGGAGGCTGAGGCAGGAAAATTGTTTGAACCTGGGAGGCGGAGGTTGCGGGGAGCCGAGATCGTGCCATTGCACTCCAGCCTGGGCAACAAGAGCAAAACTCTGTCTCAAAAAAAAAAAAAGAAACAAAACTTATAAAAAAGCGATATGAACAAAAATTAAATTATGCATAATCCCACTCCCTATTAACCATTTTTGTATCTCTTTCTAGTAGACACATGTGTCACTATGTTGCCCAGGCTGGTTTTGAACTCCTTGGGCTCAAGTGATCCTCTTGCCTCAGCCTCCCAAGTAGCTGGGATTATATGCATGATACATTAAGTTTTTCTACAATAACACTTTAAATAGTTGCATGGTTTTCGCTATGTAAATTGTTTCCTATCATTACTGTAGGATATATTGATTCCTTCTAAATTTTTTTATTATTGTTTTATTTTTGAGACAGGGTCTCACTGTTGTCCAGGCTGGAGTGCAGTGGCATGATCTCGGCTCACTGCAACCTCTTCCTAGGCTCAAGAGATCCTCCTACCTCAGCCTCCCAAGTAGCTGGGACTACAGGCACATACCACCATGCCTGGCTATTTTTTGTAATTTTTGGGTAGAGACAGGGTTTTGCTATGTTGCCCAGGCTGGTCTCAAACTCCTGGGCTCAAGCAATCCACTCACCTCAGCCTTTCAAAATGCTGGGATTACAGACATGAGCCACCACATCTGGCCTTTTTTTTTTTGTACAGATGGGGCCTTGCTATGTTGCTGGCCTTGAATTCCTGGGCTGAAGCTATCCTCCTAACTTAGCCTCCCAAAGTGCTGGGATCACAGGTGTGAACCACCGTGCCTGGCCTGCAGCTTTAATTAATTAATTTACTTATTTATTTAAGAGTGAGACAAAGTCTCACTCTGTTGCCCGGGCTGGAGTGCAGTGGCACCATCGTGGCTCACTGCAACCTCCACCTCCCGGGTTCAAGCGATTTCTGGCTAATTTTTGTATTTTTAGTAGAGACTGGGTTTCACTGTGCTGGCCAGGCTGGTCTTGAACTCCTGACCTGAAGTGATCCGCCCTCCTCGGCCTCCCAAAGTGCTAAGATTACAGGTGTGAGCCAAGGCGCCTGGCCTGCAGCTTTAATTTAAATTCTAGAAGTTGAGGAGATGGCTGGGCTCAAGTCACAAAGAAAGCATCTCCAATTTGGGGGCTAAGTGGAGTTGTTTAAAAATGGAAACTGCTATGGGAAGCATGCAGGAGTGATGCAGGGTACAGGCTTGTATGTGTCTTTCCAATGACTATGTTGAGTTATTGTCCACCTGGAGTGCTGGCTGGCTGGCCCCATTTCAGCTGCAGCGGGACTGTTGATTAACCTCACTGAGGTAATCTCATGGGGAAGAATTCAGCGCTGGGTCTCCATGCCTGGTTAGTTTCAAGATCAGCCCCTGGAATGAACTTTTTTCTTTTTTTTTTTTTTTTTGAGATGGAGTCTCGCTCTGTTGCCCAGGCTGGAGTGCAGTGGCATGATCTCAGCTCACTGTAACCTCTGCCTCCTGGGTTCAAGCGATTCTCCTGCCTCAACCTCATGAGTAGCTGGGATTACAGGTGCCCGCCACCACCACGCCTGGCTAATTTTTGTATTTTTAGTAGAGACAGGGTTTCACCATGTTGGTCAGGCTGGTCTTGAACTCCTGACCTTGTGATCCACCCACCTTGGCCTCCCAAAGTGCTGGGATTACAGGCATGAGCCACTGCACCCGGTCAGCCCCTGGAATTTCTAAATGAACATATACTCAGATAGGTGTGCATGGTACAACAAAGTGTCAGGTGGGAAAGGGAGGGAAGATAATTCTAAAATAGGTTTCAAGGCTACATCTTAAAATTAAGAAGGAAGGCCAGGTGCAGTGGCTCATACCTATAATCCCAGCACTTTGGGAGGCCGAGGTGGGTGGATCACCTGAGGTCAGGAGTTTGAGACGAGCATGGCCAACATGGTGAAACCCCGTCACTACTAAAAATACAAAAATTAACCAGGCATGGTAGTGGCTGCCTGTAATCCCAGTTACTCGGGAGGCTAAGGCAGGAGAATCACTTGAACCTGGGAGGCACAGGTTGCAGTGAGCAGAGATCACGCTATTGCACTCTAGCCTGGGCAACAAGATCGAAATGCGGTCTCAAAAAAAAAAAAAAAAAAAGATTAAGAAGGAAAGGAGGAGAAAAAAACAAAATACATTTTAAGGCTGAGATACTCAGTTAAAATAATAATAATTTTAATGGCTGCATAATATTCCATCAAATGGGTTTGCCAAAATTTATTTAACTGCTTCTCTCTCTTTTTTTTTGTTTTTGTTTTTTTTGAGACGGAGTCTCACTCTGTCGCCCAGGCTGGAGTGCAGTGGCATGATCTCGGCTCACTGCAACTTCTGCTCCCCAGGTTTAAGCAATTCTCTGCCTCAGCCTCCTGAGTAGCTGGGATTACAGGCACGTGCCACCATGCCCAGCTAATTTTTTGTATTTTTAGTAGAGACGGGGTTTCACCATCTTGGCCAGGCTGGTCTTGAACTCCTGACCTTGTGATCCACCCACCTTGGCCTCCCAAAGTGCTGGGATTACAGGTGTGAGCCACCGCGCCCGGCCAAATGCTTCTCTGTTTCAAGATTTTTATTACTAAGA
The DNA here is from genome assembly GCF_000001405.40 of Homo sapiens. Lineage (NCBI taxonomy): Eukaryota > Metazoa > Chordata > Mammalia > Primates > Hominidae > Homo > Homo sapiens. The sequence goes on along the minus strand of NW_018654706.1, from coordinate 140,759 downwards.
AATATAAGTGGCTGGGCGTGGTGGCTCAGGCCTGTAATCCCAGCACTTTTTGGGAGGCCGAAGCGGGCGGATCACCTGAGGTAGGAGTTGAAGACCAGCCTCGCCAACGTGGTGAAACCTGGTCTCTACTAAAAATACAGAAAAATTAGCTGGGCGTGGTGGCAGGCACCTGTAATCCAAGCTACTCAGGAGGCTGAGGCAAGAGAATTACTTGAACCCGGGACGTGGAGATTGCAGGGAGCCGAGATCACGCCACTGCCCTTCAGCCTGGGCAACAAAAGCGAAACTGCATCTAAAAAAACAAAAAAAAACCCCATTTTAGGGCCAGGCATGGTGGCTTATGCCTATAATCCTAGCATTTTGGAAGGCTGAGGTGGGAGGATCACTTGAGGCCAGGGTTCAAGATCAGCCTGGCCAACCTAGCAAGAGTAATGGGTATACTTTTTTTCTTCAAGAAATACCATACCTAAAATAGTACCGTAAACCTATTTTGAAATCAATTTGTTTGACATCTCCCCAACCCACCCCAAAAATCCAATGATTACTTGAACAATGCTAAAGTGTTCATTTATCAAAATAAATACTTTGAAGGAAACTACTTATTTAAATGTTTATCTTCTGATATATTTGTTTGTTTTTCTAAATTAGTCTTGTCAGTTCATATTCATACCACGGAGGACAAACACAGAAACAATTATAGTCAACTTGACGAAAGGCCAGTGTGATGACTCACATCCTGTCTCTGCCTCTAGAGTTAAATGTTGGTTCTTTATCCTTGGGCCCCATATTTGATCTGTCAAGAAACTGTTGGCTGGGAACTCCTGAGGTCAGGAGTTCGAGACCAGCCTGGCCAACATAGGGAAACCCCATCTCTACTAAAAATACAAAAAATTAGCTGGCCATGGTGGCTGGCGCATGTAATCCCAGCTACTTGGGAGGCTGAGGCAGGAGAATCGCTTGAACCTGGGAGGCAGAGGTTGCAGTGAGCCGAGATCGCACCACTGCACTCCAGCCTGGGTGACAGTGCAAGACTCCGTCTCAAAAAAAAAAAAAAAGAAACTGTCATTGCCTAAAAGCATCCTGGGGATCCTTTCTCATTTGAAAAAAGAGGAGATCACTTTTCAAAGGAGATGGAGAAGGCTGACTCCTCCTTCACACTCATATACTGGCCACAGGGGCTAACAAGCATGGCACAGGCAAGGTGGAAAATCCCAGACATCCTTACTCCCCTACTAAAGCAACACTCTTTCTCTGTTTTATGTTTTCTTTGTGTGTGTTGTTGTTGTTATTGTTTGAAATGGAGTCTCACTCTGTTACCCATGCTAGAGTGCAGTGGCGACATCTTGGCTCACTGCAACCTCAACCTACTGAGCCCAGGTGATTCTCCCACCTCAGCCTCCCGAGTAGCTGGGATTACAGGTGTGTACCACCATGCCCCCCTAATTTTTGTATTTTTTTGTAGAGACAGGGTCTTGCTACGTTGCTCAGGCTGGTCTCAAACTCCTGACCTCAAATGATCCATCTGCCTTGGCCTTCCAAAGTGCTGGGATTACAGGTGTGAGCCACTTATTAACGTTTTGAAATATTTACTTTCATACCATTATATCTATGTACATGTACTATAAAAAAGTAGCATATTAACATACTATTTTAAAGCTTTTCTTACAATAATTACAATTTATATGTATATAATGTTTACTCTAGGCCAGGTACTATCCCAAATGTTATTACATATAATAACTCATTTAAACCCCATGATAACACTATAAAGAAGGCACTATTAGTATCCCATTTAATGATAAGGACACTAAGGCAGAGGAGTTAAGTAATTTACCTTAGGCCACACAGTTAATAAGTTAACTATCTGGGATATTTTTCCATTAAATTCATTTCTACAAATTCTTTTTGTATAGCTGTATCTTATTATATGGATGTGCAGTTTCATTTAATTATTCCATTCCCTTTTATTAGACATCAAGATTATTTCCGCTAAGCATGGTGGTGCACGCCTATAACCCCAGCACTTTGGGAGTCTGAGGAGGGAGGATTGTTTGAGCCCTGGAGGTCAAGGCTGCAGTGAGCCATGTTGGCACCACTGTATTCTAGCCTGGGCAACAGAGCGAGACCCTGTCTCAAAAAAATAAATAAATAAAAAATGGAAAATTATTTCCATTTTTTGCTAAATCACACACATCACTAAGATAAGCATCCTTATACTAAACCTTTGTGAAAATTCTTAATTATTTTCTTAGGCTAAATGAGCTTAAGAAGAGTTGGCATTGATTTTTATTTCCTCCAAAAATGTACTCCTTTCTCCATGTTCTCCGTGACCTTAAATGTTGTAAATTTTAACATTTTTGCCTAGAGCAACTTTTTTTTTTTCTGTGACGGAGTCTCGCTCTGTTGCCCAGGCTGGAGTGCAGTGGCGCCATCTCGGCTCACTGCAAGCTCCGCCTCCTGGGTTCACGCCATTCTCCTGCCTCAGTTTCCCGAGTAGCTGGGACTACAGGCACCTGCAACCATGCCCGGCTAATTTTTTGTATTTTTATTAGAGGCAGGGTTTCACCGTGTTAGCCAGGACGGTCTCAATCTCCTGACCTTGTGATCCACCTGCCTTGGCCTCCCAAAGTGCTGGGATTACAGGTGTGAGCCACCGCACCCGGCTACCTAGAGCAACTTTTTAAAATTTGTTTTTTCAGTTCTGAGAAATAAATTAGAGTACTAAAGCGTGAATGGCTTCTTCAGAGTGAAAAAGCCACAGCTGGCCAGGCACAGTGGCTCACACCTGTAATCCTAGCACTTTGGGAGGCCAAAGCAGGCAGATCGCTTGAGCCCAGGAGTTCAAGACCAGCCTGGCCAACGAGGCGAAACCCTGTCTAAAAATTTTATCTAAAAATACAAAATATTTAGCTGAGCATGGTGGTACATTCCCAGCTACTTGGGAAGCTGAGGTATGAGAATCGCTTGAGGCACGAGAATTGCTTGGGAGGCAGAGGTTGCAGTGAGCCGAGATTGTGCCACTACTCTCCAGCCTGGGTGACAGAGTGAGACTCTGTCTCAAAAATAAAATAAAATAAAATAAAATAAAAAAATAAGCCAGGCATGGTGGCTCACGCCTGTAATTCCAGCACTTTGGGAGGCCGAGGGGGGTGGATCACCTGAGATCAGTGGTTTGAGACCAGCCTGGCCAACATGGTGAAACCCTGTCTCTACTAAAAATACAAAAAAATTAGCTGGGTGTGGTGGCGCATGCCTGTAATCCCAGCTACTTGGGAGGCTGAGGCAGGAGAATCGCTTGAATCTGGGAGGTGGAGGTTGCAATCAGCTGAGATTGCGCCACTGCACTCCAGCCTGGGCAACAGAGAGAGACTCTGTCTCAAAAAAAAAAAAAAAAAAAAGGAGAAAGCCATGGTCAAAAAGCTACCCCCTTTCCACAATTTCCTCCTGCTTACTACAGATGCTGAGCCTCATGGCGTACATACCACCTCATTGAAGAGGAATGTTAACCTGGGACAAACCAGCTTACACAGGCAAGATTCTTTTGGTCTCCAAGTCAGCATTCACAAGTTCACTCACTCATTCACTCAACAAATATTTGAAAGGTCAATTATATGAGTAGTACTAAGCTAGGTAGGGGTTATGGGGTTCATAGAAATAAAAAGTATTTAGAACACTGCTAAATAAAACATTTAACACAGTGCCTGGCATAAATATTTATTTATTGATCAATTATTATGTCCCAGGCACTGTGCTAAATGAGTAGATTATCTCATTTAATCTCTACAACAATCTCTAGGAACAGTCTATGATCATATGCATTTTGCAGACAAGAAAACTAAGGCTTACGGAGGTTTACCCAGCTTGAACAACATACATGCAGTGGAGTTTAGATTTAAACCTAAGATTCCAAAGTTTGTGCTCTTAATCATTATGCTATACTACAAAACACAGCTCCTCTCCTTAGGAAGCATACAGTCTTGCTAATAATACTAAAATTGGGCCGGGCATGGTGGCTCATGCCTGTAATCCCAGCACTTTGAGAGGCCAAGGTGAGCAGATCACTTGAGGTTGGGAGTTCGAGACCAGCCTGACCAACATGGAGAAAGCCCGTCTCTACTAAAAATACAAAATTAGCCAGGCATGGTGGTGCATGCCTGTAATCCCAGCTACTCGGGAGGCTGAGGCAGGAGAATCCCTTGAACCTGGGAGGTGGAGGTTGCAGTGAGCCAAGATAATGCCATTGCACTCCAACCTGGGCAACAAGAGTGAAATTCCATCTCAAAAGACAAAAATTAAAAATAAAAAATAATAAAGTCAGATAGTAATATGAAAAAAAAGGCCGGGCACGGTGGCTCACGCCTGTAATCTCAGCACTTTGGGAGGCCAAGGCGGGTGGATCACAAGGTCAGGAGATCGAGACCATCCTGGCTAACAAGGTGAAACCCCACCTCTACTAAAAATACAAAAAATTAGCCGGGCATGGTGGCAGGCTCCCAGCTACTCGGGAGGCTGAGGCAGGAGAATGGCGTGAACCCGGTAGGCAGAGGTTGCAGTGAGCCGAGATCGCGCCACTGCACTCCAGCGTGGGTGACAGAGTGAGACTCCATCTCGAAAAAAAAAAAAAAAAAAGAAAAAAAATAAAGAGGCTGGGTGCGGTGGCTCATGCCTGTAATCCCAGAACTTTGGGAGGCTGGGACAAGTGGATTGCTTGAGGTCAGGAGTTCGAGGCCAGCCTGGCCAACACAGTGAAACCCCAACTCTACTAAAAATATAAAAATTAGCTGGGCATGGTAGTACACGCCTGTAATCCCAGCTACTTGGGGGGCTGAGGCAGGAGAATCGCTTGAACCCGGGAGGCGGAGGTTGTAGTGAGTCCAGATGGTGCCACTGCACTCCAGCCTGGGCAAGAGAGTGAGACTCTGTCTCAATAAAAAAGAAAAAAAAAAGATAAAGGGATAGAGAGTAGAGAATGACAGAGAATGAGTTTGCTACTTAATTCTGGATGGTCAGGGAAGCTTCTCTGACATTTTAGCAGAGACCTAAAAGGTGAAGAAAGCCAGCCACGCTGAATTCTGGGCAGGAAATGTTCCATGAAAAGATGTTGGTTCTCTTCCAAATTAATCAATACATATTCAATGAAATTCCAATAAAATTCCAGTAGTAATGTTGAGAATCTACAACTTACTCTAAAATGAATATGAAAGAATAAAGGCCTATGAAAACCCAGTCTATATTTGTGTTGTTGTTGAGACAGGGTCTCAATGTGTCACCCAGGCTGGAATGTAGTGATCTCATCACAGCTCACTGCAACCTCAACCGCCCAAGCTCCAGAGATCCTCCTACCTCAGCCTCCCACATAGCTGGAACCACAGGTGCATGCCATCACACCTGGCTAATTCAAAAAAAATTTTTTTGGAGAGATAAGTTCTTGCTATGTTGCCCAGGCTGGTCTTGAATTCCTGGCCTCAAGTGATCCTCTTGCCCCGGCCTCCCAAAGTACTAGGATTATAAGCATGAGCCATCATGCCTGGATGCTAGATCTATTTTCTTTTCTTTATTATTATTTTTTGAAATATTACTACACTATAAGTCTATTTTAGAGGACAAAAAGGTAAGGGTACCTGCCCTATTGGTAGAAATGGCTCTACTATAAAGCCATAACAATAAAAACATTGTGTTGCGGGCACTGAAACAAAGAAATAAAAAATGAAATAGAATGGAGAGCTTAAAAATAAAGTATATACGAGGAAACCTAATATGTAACAACGGTAGCATCAGAAAGCACTGAAAATTGTTTTTCAGATGGTGGTAGAAAAACTAATTCACTGCAAGGAGAAGAAAGCTGGATTTTTACTTGAAACCACCTAGAAGATAGACTCCAGATGGATTAAAGACCTAAATGTGAAAGTTAAAACTATAAAGCTAAGAAGGAAAATCTGTTCCCTAAGGGTAAATGAAGACTTCCTACACAAAATTCTATGCCGGGCGCTGTGGCTCATGCCTCTAATCCTAGCACTTTGGGAGACTGAGGCGGGAGGATTGCCTGAGCTCAGGAGTTCGAGACCAGCCTGATCAACATAGTAAAACCCTGTCTCTACTAAAAGTAAAAAAATTTAACTGGGCGTGGTGGCATGCACGTATAGTCCCAGCTACTCAGGAGGCTGAGGCATGAGAATTGCTTGAACCCGGGAGGCAGAGGTTGCAGTGAGCTGAGATCCTACCACTTCACTCCAGCCTGGGCAAAAGAGTAAGACTCTGTCTCAAAAAGAAAAACTAAGGAACAAGATTCCAAACCATAATATAGTCAAAATTTAGGATCTCTGCTTAATTAATGACATCACAGATAAAGTTAACAGAAAGGTGACAGACTGAGAGAAGATATTTGCAATGTTTTAAGCAAAGGATTAATATCTAGAATATACAAAGGTTCTGCAGATCAATACCATTGAAAATAAAATATAAAAAATGGGCAAAGAATATAGATACCTTAGTTTCACATACTAAAAAAGTCTATATACTGTTACATACAAAGAAAGAAATGAAAAGATTCAAATGTAATTATAACCAGAGACAAGCAAATCAAAACAACCAAGAGCTGCCATTTTACATCCATCAAACTGGAAAAAACTAGAAAGACGGGTCATGCCACATCACACCAACTGGTGAGGATGTGGCTATGAGTTCTTGTTCACTAGCAATAGGAAAGTAAATGTTACAGACATTCTGAAAAGTAACCTGCAATAGTTGGCAAATGTGAGCATGCTCATAGCTATACAGCCCAGGGGATTTTTTTTTCTTTTTTTTTTTTGAGACAGAGTTTTGCTCTTGTTACCCAGGCTGGAGTGCAATGGAGTGATCTCGGCTCACCGCAGCCTCTGCCTCCAGGGTTCAAGCGATTCTCCTGCTTCAGCCTCCTGAGTAGCTGGGATTACAGGCATGCGCCACCACATCTGGCTAACTGCATTTTTAGCAGAAACGGGGTTTCTCCATGTTAGTCAGGCTGATCTCGAACTCCCGACCTCAGGTAATCTGCCCACCTCGGCCTCCCAAAGTGCTGGGATTACAGGAGTGAGCCACTGAGCCCAGCCTTTTTTTTTTTTTTGAGATGAGGTCTCTTTCTGTTGCCCAGGTTGGAGTGCAGTGGCGCAATCTCAGCTCACTGCAGCCTCCGCCTCCACCTCCCAGATTCAAGCAATTCTCCCACCTCAGCCTCTTGAGTAGCTTGGATTACAGGGGCATGCCACATGCCCGGCAATTTTTTGCATCTTTAGTAGATATAGGGTTTCACCATGGTGGCCAGGCTGGTCTTGAACTTCTGACCTCAGTTGATCCACCCACCTCGGCCGCCTGAAGTGCTGGGATTACAGGCATGAGCCACCGCGCCCAGTCATCCAGGGGAATTTTTATAACAATCTACGAATTTGCTTATTTTAGCATTTTTTATGGTAGTGAAGAGTTGCAGGCAATCTCAGGTGTTTTTGTTTTTGTTTTTGTTTTTTTTGAGACAGAGTCTCGCTTTATCGGCCAGGCTGGATTGCAGTGGCACAATCTCAGCTCACTGCAACCTGTCTCCTGGGCTCAAGCAATTCTCCTGCCTCAGTCTCCTAAGGAGCTGGGATTACAGGCGTGTGCCACCATGCCCAGCTAATTTTTATATTTTTAGTGGAGATGGGGTTTCACCATGTTGGCCAGGCTGGTCTCAAACTCCTGACAGGTAATCTGCCTGCCTCGGCCTCCCAAAGTGCTGGGATTACAGACATGAGCCACTGTGCCCAGCCAGGTTTGTTTTCTATTGTTGTTGTTGTTTTTAATAGATACAGGGTCTCGCTGTCCCTGAGGCTGGAGTGCAATGACACCATAATAGCTCTGCAGCCTCAACCTCCTGGGCTCAAATGATCTTCCTGCCTCAGCCTCCCAAGTGGCTAGGACTACAGGCCTGTGCCACCATGCCAAGCTTAAAAAAATTTTTTTTTTAGAGATGGGGTCTCACTATGTTGTCCAGGCTGGTCTCAAATTCCTGGCCTCAGGCAATCCTTTCACCTGAGCCTCCCAAAGTGCTGGGATTATAGGCATGAACTACGCACCCAGCAGCAATCTAGGTTTCTATGATATAAAGGGACTAAATGAATAAAACATGGTGGATACACAGTGATTACGTGTCTAGATTGTGGAGATGATCTGCCTGATTTGAAATTCAGGCTCCACCACTTACTAGTTCTGACTTTGGACAACAGAAAAAAGAAATTTGAAGTTGGTTGTAGTGGCTCATGCCTGTAATCCCACCATTTTGGGAGGCCAAGGCAGGCGGACTGTTTGAGCCCAGAAATTTTAGACCAGCCTGGGCAACGTGGTGAAACCCTATCTCTACAAAAAAATGCAATAATTAGCCAGGTGTGGTGGTGCATGCCTGTAGTCCCAGCTACCTGGGAAGCTGAGGTTGGAAGACCACCTGAGCCTGGGATGTCGAGGCTGCAGTGAGCTGTGATTGTGCCACTGCGCTCCAGTCTAGGCAACAGAGTGAGAAGACTATCTGAAAAAAAAAAAAAAATTGAGAAACCTCTCTGTATAACCTCATCTATAAAATGGAAATAATAACAACTCACAACCCTCATACAGTTGTTATGAGAAGTACATGAGTTGAAACATTTAAAGTACCTGTCATGGCTGGGTGTGATGGCTCAAGTCTGTAATTCCAGCACTTTGGGAGGCCAAGGCAGGTGGATCACCCAAGGTCAGGAGATCAAGACCATCCTGGCTAACATGGTGAAACCTCATCTCTACTAAAAATACAAAAATTAGCTGGGCATGGTGGTGGCCGCCTGTAATCCCAGCTACTCGGGAGGCTGAGGCAGGAGAATCGCTTGAACCCGGGAGGCAGAGGTTGCAGTGAGCTGCTATTGCATCATTGCACTCCAGCCTGGCAACAAGAGCAAAACTCCCTCTCAAAAAAAAAAAAAAAAAAAAATCAAAATTAGCTGGGCGTGGTAGCACATGCCTGTAATCCTAGCTATCCAGGAGGCTGAGGTAGGGGCATCGCTTGAACCCGGGAGAAGGAGGTTGCAGTGAGCCGAGATGGCACCACTGCACTCCAGCCTGGGTGACAGAGCAAGACTCTGTCTCAAAAAATAAATGAATTAATAAATAATAAAAATAAAGTACCTGTCATGGAGCAAACACTATTTAAACACTAATACTTTTATTAGTATGAAAGCATATGCAAGTTGGAAGTTATGAGTTAGATTTACATAGAGTAACAAGTACATATCAGGCCAGGCACAGTGGCTCATGTCTGTAATCCCAGCATTTTGGGAGGCTGAGGCAGGCAGATCACTTGAGTTCAGAAGTTCGAGACCAGCCTGGCCAACATGGTGAAACCCTCTCTCTACTAAAAATACAAAAATTAGCTGGAAATCACCTGAACCCAGGAGGCGGAGGTTGCAGTGAGCTGAGATCATGCCATTGCACTCCAGCCTGGGCGACAGAGCAAGACTCTGTCTCAAAAAAATAAATAAATAAAAGCTCTATTGTTACACAGCTTATAAAAGCAAAAAAAATGGGATCAAACTGAAAATCATAGAGGATTCAATTAGATAACTTATAGCAAATCCATATGATGAAATAGAAATAGCAATTATAATTGTCAATATTTAAATACCAGCTCTGCCAATCAGTAGCTGTATAGCTCAGGGAAAGTTAATTAATCTATATGTACCAGTTCTCCTGTTTACAAAACGGGTTTAACATACCTGAAGCACTTAGGATAGCACTGACACATAACAGGAACTCAATAAACTAGCTTTAAAAAGAAAAAAATTTTGGCCGGGTGCGGTGGCTCATGCCTGTAATCCCAGTACTTTGGTGAGGCTGAGGTAGGGAGTTCGAGACTAGCCTGACCAACATGGTGAAACACCGTTTCCTTCTTTTTTTTTTTTTTTTTTTGAGACGGAGTCTTGCTCTGTCGCCCAGGCTGTACTGCAGTGACGCGATCTCAGCTCGCTGTAAGCTCCGCCTCCCGGGTTCAAGCAATTCTCCTGCCTCAGCCTCCCGAGTAGCTGGGACTATAGGCGGCCGCCACCACGCCCGGCTAATTTTTGTATTTTTAGTGGAGACGGGGTTTCACCGTGTTAGCCAGGATGGTCTTGATCTCCTGACCTCATGATCTGCCCACCTCGGCCTCCCAAAGTGCTGGGATTACAGGCGTGAGCAACGCGCCCTGCCCGAAACACCGTTTCTTAAAAACACAATGCCACTGCACTCCAGCGTGGACAACAGTGAGACCCTTTCTCGAAAATAAAAAATATAATACAAAAAATTAAGGCCGGGCGCGGTGGCTGACGCCTGTAATCCCAGCACTTTGGGAGGCCGAGCGGGGCGGATCACGAGGTCAGGAGATTGAGACCATCCTGGCTAACACTGTGAAACCCCGTCTCTACTAAAAATACAAAAAATTAGCCGGGCGTGGTGGCGGGCGCCTGTGGTCCCAGCTACTCGGGAGGCTGAGGCAGAAGAATGGCGTGAACCCGGGTGGCGGAGCTTGCAGTGAGCCGTGAGTGCGCCACTGTACTCCATCTCAAAAAAAAAAAAAATTAGCCGGGCATGGTGGCCCATGCCTGTAATCCCAGCTACTTGGGAAGCTGAGGCAGGAGAATCACTTGGACCTGGGAGGTGGAGGTTGCAGTGAGCTGAGATCATCGCAGTACTGCACTCCAGCCTGGGCAACAAGAGCGAAACTCTGTCTCAAAAAAAAAAAAAAATTTTTTTTAACAAAAGGGGAGTGTAGACAAATGTCCTGGAAAGATGTTAATGATAGATGAATGGGAAAAAAGGGTTATAAACCAGTATATATGGAATCTTTTTATAAAATAAACACATTTCATATACATAAATTTATAAAAAAATAAAGACTAGATGGATATATACCAAAATAGAACTAGTACTTCTCTTTGGATAATAGGTGTTATTTTCTATCTGTACTATATTTTAAAAGTTTTCAACAATAAATATGCTACTTTTATGAAAGGTGAAAACTCTCATCCTCATCTCTGCCACAATTAAAACTAGGAACTGTCATTTTTTTTGCTTCAACTGGTAATGAATCTACCCCAAATTTACAGGGTAAGGGAATAAAGAATCAGAATTACACAGACATGTCTCTTCATTGGCTTTATTACCATGTAACACAAGCTCACAGCCTCTAATGTTACCAACCTTATACACAAATGGCCAAACAAGAAATTGTCCTTTCCAAAAGATAATTTATTCTGGTTTCCCCTCTTCATTTTTATTTTTTTTTGAGACGGAGTTTCGCTCTTCTCACCCAGGCTGGAGTGCAATGGCGTCATCTCTGGTCACTGCAACCTTCACCTCCTGGGTTCAAGCGATTCTCCAGCCTCAGCCTCCCAAGTAGCTGGGATTACAAGCGCCTGCTACCATGCCCGGCTAAATTTTGTATTTTTCGTAGAGATGGGGTTTCACCATTTGGCCAGGCTGGTCTCAAACTCCTGACCTTGGGTGATCCACCTACCTCAGCCTCCCAAAGTGCTGGGATTAGAGGTGTGAGCCACTGCGCTTGGCCCGGTTTCCCCTCTTAATACAGTGGGATTAGATAGATTCTCCGTGACATCCTGAGCCTTTAATATAGAAAGGCTGTCATGAAAGTGAAATCGCCACATGAGGAGAACAGTGCAAAGAACCAATTAATTCTCACCATCCTCTCCCTGAAGGAAGAATGCCTGCCTGGCAATGGTGAAATGGGACATTTAAAACATATTTTTTTGGCCAGGCGTGGTGGCTCATGCCTGTAATCCCAGCACTTTGGGAGGCCAAGGTGGGTGGATCACGAGGTCAGGAGTTCGAGAATAGCCTGACCAACATGGTGAATCCCCATTTCTACTAAAAATACAAAAATTAGCTGAGCATGGTGGCATGTGCCTGTAATCCCAGCTACTCAGGAGGCTGAGGTGGGAGAATTGCTTGAACCCAGGAGGCAGAGGTTGCAGTGAGCCGAGATCGTGCCACTGCACTCCAGCCTGGGAAACAAAGCGAGACTCTGTCTCAAAAACAAAACAAAACAAAAACCAAAAAAAGCAAACATATTTTTTCAAACAAGTAAGGATAGGCCCCAAATGTGGACAGATCCTCTTAGTCACATGAGCCTCTTGGGGTCTATTTTCTCTAGGTGAACCAGAGGTTTTAGCTGTTCTGCGAAGTTCTTCATGTCATCAGAGACCATGTCCTGCCCAGCGGGTGCTACCACACTTAATTCCACGAGATAGGAGAGTGACAAGGCCTCAGTGCTGTCTGTGTTCCCTGGCACCAGGATGCGGAAAATCTTGTACACCATAATCTTCATGATGCCCTTACGGAACAAATGTCCCTTAGCAACAAACTCATGGTCCATGCGGAAGCCCATTTCCATCAAGAAGTCGGTGAGGTTCTCAGATGTGGCAATGTCCACGCAGTTTCGCACCAGGGCATGGCGGTTCTTGTCTCCCATTTCTGGCTGTCCCAGGTAGCGCAGATGCCAGGGTGCCCCTGCCCTGTCCATAGAGCGTCGGGCCCTGAGAACAAATGGGCTGGCTTGCTGGCCCTTAAGGAGGAATACCATCTCATGGTCAAGGAAAGTCTCAGGTTCCATGTTGTCACACAAACCACGAAGGCGGTGGATGAGGCTTTCCAAACTGTGATCTAAAACACTTCCTGAAAACGGAAAAAGCACCACTGAGTCCTGTCTTTCATTTTAGGTCATGGAGTTAGTATACAATTGAAAAAACTTAAATGAAAAACCAAAACAGTTTAGTGAAGCATTTCATAAAACATACAGCCAAACATGAGATTTTACAGAAATTACACTACCAAGGTATTGTATAACGTTGTGAGAAAGTTATTTTCCTTTTCAATTTTTTTGGAATTTTCTTATTTAGCACTACAAAGTCTTTAGGCCTCTTCTAATGCTCATCTCCAGCAGGCCTGGGGCTTAGAGCCTTTAATCAGCGACAGTGTCTATCTAGAATGTAATAATACTGTTTTAGTTATGTATTTATTTATTTTTGTAGAGTTGGGGTCTTACTATGTTGCCCAGGGTGGTCTTGAACTCCTGGCCTTGGTCTCCCAAAGTGTTGGGATTACAGGCACAAGCCACCATGCCCAGCCAATAACACTATTTTGTTGTTATATATTTTAACAATTGCCTTCTATTTCCAACAAATCAAAGTCTTCCATTTATAGAAGAAATATAAAGTCTCCCCCGCTTTTTTTGAGACGGAGTCTAGCTCTGTCTTCAGGCTGGAGTGCAGTGGTGCGATCTCAGCTCACTGCAACCTCCACCTCCTGGGTTCAAGCGATTCTCCTGCCTCAGCCTCCTGAGTAACTGGGACTACAGGCGTGTGCCACCACGCCCAGCTAATTGTTGTATTTTTAGTAGAGACAGGGTTTCACCATGTTGGCCAGGATGGTCTCGATCTCTTGACCTCGTGATCCGCCTGCCTCAGCCTCCCAAAGTGCTGAGATTACAGGCATGGAGCCACTGCACCTGGCTAAAGTTTCCTTTTTATCAGGAAAAGTTTTCCTCTTCTGTATGTAAGTAGAAGAGAGTGAATTGCTTCATAGAATCTTCATCCTCTTGGCAACATCTGACATAATTGTTACAGTAGATTATACCCACTATGAAATCTATTCTTCCCTTGGCCTCTGAGACACAACTTTCTTGTCTTCACTTAACTTGCTGACCATTCCGTTTAAGTCTTCTTTGCTTGGTCTCTCTCATCTTCCCCAAACACTGGAGGACTAGGACTCAATCCTGGTCCTCTTCTGTATCAATACTCTTTTCCTGCCTAGGTGACTTTATTTGGTCCCATGGCTTTAAATATCATTTAGGCCCTGAGGACTCCCACGTTTTTATCTCTGAACTACAGATGAAAACATCCAACTTCCTACTCAGTTTCCTCACTTGGATGCCTAACAGACATCTTTATCTTAACATGTTCAATATCAAACTGTTGATTTTTTCCTCCAAAATCTTATTCACCCTACAGTCTTCAACATCACAGTAAATGGCAACTCTCTGTTTTTAGTTGGTTACCCAGGCCAAAAACCAGAAAATCATCTTTGACTCACACCCTCTTTCTTTCTCTCATACCCTCCATTGAATCCGTATTTTTGAAATAAATGCAGAATGCAATCACTTCTCACTCATCTGGTCACTTCAACCTAGTCCCTTCAAATGAAGTCACCCTCATTTCTTGCCTGGTCTTTGCAATCGCCTCTTTCTACCTTTGCCTTCTTCCTCTCTTCTCCATATGAAAGCCAAATGGTCTATTAAATTATTGGGCAGATAATAACACTCCTCTACTCAGGACACTACAGTGGCTTCCTGTGTCATTCAGAATAAAAGCCAACATCTTTACCGTTGTCAACAAGGCCCTACATATTATGGTCTCTGCTACCTGCCAAACATCATCTCCTTCTATTCCTCCCCTTGATCATTCTCTCCAGGAGTGACCTTCCTGCCACACCCCTTCTCCTATTCTCTGTGCTTAGGATGTTCTTCCCATCTGCATGTCTACTCTATCACTTTTGTCAGGTCTCTGCTCAAGTGACTTTATCATCAAGGCCTTTTCTGATCACCCTAATAAAATAGTATGTGTCCTACCAATCTCTAGCCACTTTCCTGCTTTATTTTTATGGCATAGTTTTGTTTTTTTTTTTTAGGTAGGGTCTCACTCTGTCTCCAGGCTATAGAGCAGTGGCGTGATTATAACTCTTTGCAGCCTCCATCCCCTGGGCTCAAGTGATCCTCCCGCCTCAGCCTCCCAAGTGGTTCAGACTACAGGTGCGCACCACCATGCCCAGCTAATTTTTTTTTTTAGTAGAGATGAGTTCTTGCTATGTTGTCCAGACTAATCCTGAATTCCCGAACTCAAGCAGTACTGCAGCCTTAGCCTCCCAAACAACTGGAATTACAGGCATAAGCCTGTAACAGCTGGCTTGACATACATTTTTTTAGTCATCTTTCTGCCTCCATGGCTATGGCTCAAATGTTAGGAACATATTCAGATACTTGTTTACAAAATCTGGCTGGGCGCGGTGGCTCACGCCTGTAATCCCAGCTCTCTGGGAGGCTGAGGCAGGTGGATCACCTGAGGTCAGGAGTTCAAGACCAGCCCGGCCAACATGGAAAAACCCTGTCTCTATTAAAAATACAAAAATTAGCTGGCCATGGTGGTGCACACCTGTAATCCCGCTACTCAGGAGGCTGAGACAGAAGAATCGCTTGAATCTGGGAGGCAGAGGCTGCAGTAAGCCAAGATTGCACCACTGTGCTCCAGCCTGGGCAACGGAGTGAGAATCCATCTTAAAAAAAAAAAATCAGAGAAACAGGACCTAGAAAGATAGTTGCTAAGGGTTTGGCATAGAGGGGAGTGGTAATTAGTGTTTAATGGGTATAGAGTTGCAGTTTTATAGGATGAAAAACTTAAGTATTTTAGGCCAGGCGCGGCAGCTCATACCTGTAATCCTAGCACTTTGGGAGGCCAAGGCAAGTATATCACTTGAGGGCAAGAGTTCAAGATCAGTTTGGCCAACGTGATGAAACCACAACTCTCTACTAAAAATACAAAAATTAGCTGGGCGTGGTGATGCACGCCTGCAATCCCAGCTATTTAGGGGGGCTGAGACACAAGAATCCCTCGAACCCGGGAAGTAGATAGAGGTTGCAGTGAGCTGTTATTGTGCCACTGCGTTCCAGCCTGGGTGACAGATTGAGACTCTGTCTCAAAGAAATAAAAAGTTGTACTAAGTATTTTTTCAAGCTACTCACAATAAACCAAAGTTCTAAAGATCTGTTGTTTAACAATGTTAATATACTTAACAATACAGAACTGTACACTTAAATATGTTAAGATGGCAATTTTTTTTTTTTTTTGAGACAGAGTCTCACTCTGTCGCCCAGGCTGGAGTGCAGTGGCGCGATCTCGGCTCACTGCAACCTCTGCCTCCCAGGTTCACACCATTCTCCTGCCTCAGCCTCCTGAGTAGCTGGGACTACAGGTGCCCGCCACCACGCCGGGCTAATTTCTTTTGTATTTTTAGTAGAGACAGGGTTTCACTGTGTTAGCCAGGATGGTCTCCATCTCCTGACCTCGTGATCCGCCCACCTCGGCCTCCCAAAGTGCTGGGATTATACGCGTGAGCCACCATGCCCAGCCAAGATGGCAAATTTAGTATGTTTAGTGCATATAAAACTATAATTTAAAGTAACAGTTAAAAACATAGCTGGGTGCCAGAAACTGTGCAGGCTGCTTTTGTGTTAAGTCTCTCATCTTAAGGGAAGCTGAACAGAGAAGAGGAAAACAGGTAATCCAAGTTCCCTAGTTCACTTACCCTGCAACAGGTACTCCATCATGTTAATGGTGCCCCCAGTGACAGGCATCATGGTGACTGGAGGTGCCTCCATGGTGTCTAAGTTGAAGACAACACAACTGGACTCAGAGCCCCCAGTCAGGTAAGGCACGGGATATACCTGGAAAAGAGTTCACTTGTTTATACATCAAAGTGGTGGAGAGAGACCAGATCTGTTGTGGCACTGGCCTTCAAATCAAAGATTCATTCATTCAAAAACGTTTGAGTATTTCCTTATATGGCCAGTTCCAGGAACTGATGACACAGAAATATAGAAAGGAGATCTGGTCATGGAGTTACAGCATTACCTTCTAGTCTCAAGTTCTGAAACCTCCACATTACCTGTGCAATCTTGAGAAAGTCCTATCTATAACCCCTCACCCTGGGACTCAATGTCTTCCTTATAAAATGAGGCCAGTGATTTTTTTTTTTTTTTTTTTTTGAGACGGAGTTTCACTCTTGTCGCCCAGGCTGGAGTGCAATGGCGCAATCTCTGTTCACTGCAGCCTCTGCCTCCCAGGTTCAAGCGATTCTCCTGTCTCAGCCTCCCGAGTAGCTGGGATTACAGGCGCCCGCAACCAAGCCCAGCTAATTTTTTTTGTATTTTTAGTAGAGACGGGGTTTCGTCATGTTGGCCAGGTTGGCCTCGAACTCCTGGCCTCAGGTGATACTCAGGTGATCCGGCCTCCCAAAGTGCTGGCATTACAGGTGTGAGCCACCGTGCCCGGCCAAAGGCCAGTGATTTTTAACTCCCAAGGCTATGTGGCTCAAACGAGATAATAAAGAGGCAACAAAATTCAGAAGAACTGAAAAAGTGACTTAAGGGACCTTCGTTTTATAGATGAGGATATTGAGACTTGGAGAGGGACAGAAGGATACACACAGCAAGTTGGTAGCAGAGTTTGGACCAAACTAACATCTAGGCGTTCTATCTCTCTGAAAATGCCTTCCCCCGTACGCTTTTCTTTTTTGGTGACAGGATCTCGCTCTGTAGCCCAGGCTGCAGTGCAGTGGGGAGTTCCTAGCTCACTATAACCTCGAACTCCTGGGCTCAAGCCGAGTAGCTGGGACTACTACAGGCGGGAGACCACACTGCGGCTAGCCTAAAAATGCCTTTTAAAGAGAGCCAAGGCCGGGCGCGGTGGCTCACGCCTGTAATCTCAGTACTTTGGGAGGCCGAGGCCGGCGGATCAACTGGAGGTTGGGAGTTCGAGACCAGCCTGACCAACATGAAGAAACCCCGACTCTACTAAAAATACAAAAAATTAGCCAGGCCTGGTGGCGAGCGCCTGTAATCCCAGCTCCTCAGGAGGCTGAGGCAGGAGAATCGCTTGAACCCGGAAGGCGAGGTTGCGGTGAGCCGAGATCGCGCCATTGCACTCCAGCCTGGGCAACAAGAGCGAAACTCCGTCTCAAAAAAAAAAAAAAAAAAAAAAAGAGAGAGAGAGCCAAGGGGAAGTTATTTTAAGATGATGGTATATAGGTCCTTCTAAGCCGGCATCCATAACACGTATCCAATTAAACACTAGAAGCACACCTCCTTGAGGCTGTAGTGTCTTCTCGAGAAGCCGGGAATTATATCCACCCGCGCACCTAGGAGCTTTTGAGCGACGATTAGATACCAGCACTCCGGTTACCCGAGCCCGGGAAGCCCCCAGATCGGTGCAACCAGCCAACTTCCTCCTCTTCTCACTTCCGGTCGGAAGCCGACGTCTCACAAACCTCGAAACTGCCGTTCCCAAACGTATGGGTGCCGAGAAGGCCGAAGAGCTTCATTGCGGACAGACAATCAGAGGCGCATGCGCAAAATTCCGGGCTGCTGTATGAAAGATGGCGGCCTCCTTTGGCGCTTTCCTCCGGGCGCTACCTGGATCCTTGACGTCATAGGCCATGCTCTAGGAAAATCTTTTTAGGTTTGACAACCTGGAGATGTATTTGTGTAGAAAGTCTCTTGGAACTGATAGGACTTACAGAGATTATAGTGGGTTTCAAAAGAAAAAAGAACTGAGGGGTTGGGCGCGGTGGCTCACGCCTGTAACCCCAGCACTTTGGGAGGCCGAGGCAGGCGGATCACTTGAGGTCAGGAGTTCGAGACCAGCCTGGCCAAGATGGTAAAACTCCGTCTCCATTAAAAATACAAAAATTAGCCGGGCATGGTGACGCGCGCCTGTAATCCCAGCTACTAGGGAGGCTGAGGTGGGAGAATCGCTTGAACGCGGGAGGCGGAAGTTGCAGCGAACCGAGATCGCGCCACTGCATTGTAGCCTGGGCTACAGAGAGAGACTCTGTCTCAAAAAAAAAAAAGAGTCTGGAAAAGGAGTAGGTCCAGATCCAGGAGTACTCTGCAGTGCCATACCAAAGAATACATGTGAGCTTTAAAAGAACCCTGGCTACAACATGGAGAAAAGTTTGGGAAAGGAGAGAGCCTAGAGAAAAAAGACCAGGCCGGACACGGTGGCTCAGGCCTGTAATCCCAGCACTTTGGGAGGCCAAGGCGGGCAGATGGCTTGAGTTCAGGAATTCAAGACCAGCCTGAACAACATGGTGAAACCCTGTGTCTACAAAAAATACAAAAAATTAGCTGAACGTAGTGGCTCGCACCTGCAGTCCCAGCTACTTGGGAGGCTGAGGTGGGAGGATTGCTTGAGTCCAGGAGGCAGAGGTTGCAGTGAGCTGAGATAGCGCCACTGCACTCCAGCCTGTGCAACAGAGGGAGATCCTGTCTGGAAAAAAATTAAAGAAAAACGACCAGTTAGGCGCTTTGGTACAACTCCAGCTGAGAAACAAATGTCAGAAAAAGATTTTAAAAATGTAAAAAGAGGACAGGCGCGGTGGCTCACGCCTGTAATCCCAGCACTTTGGGAGGCCGAGGGGGGTGGATCACGAGGTCAGGAGATCGAGACCATCCTGGCTAACGGTGAAACCCTGTCTCTACTAAAAATACAGAAAATTAGCTGGGCGTAGTGGCGGGCGCCTGTAGTCCCAGCTACTTGGGAGGCTGAGTCAGGAGAATGGTGTGAACCTGGGAGACAGAGCTGGCAGTGAGCCGAGATCGCACCACTGCACTTTAGCCTGGGCGACAGAGCAAGACTCCGGCTCAAAAAAAAAAGTAAAAAGAGGAAATTAGCCGGGTGTGGTGGCACACGCCTGTAGTCCCAGCTACTCAGGTGGCTCAGGTGGTCAAGAGACCAAAATTGCTTGAACCCAGGAGGCAGAGGTTGTAGTGAGCTGAAATTGCACCACTGCTCTCCAGCCTGGGCTACAGAGCAAGACTCTGTCCTCTATATATATATGGAAAATAATTCTTTAATGACTAACCAGAGGTAAAGACAGAGATGAAGGAGTCACAGATGTCTTGGGTGGCTATCGTAGCACTTTTTTTCTCTAAGCTAGGAAACACAGAGCAGTGTGGGTGAGACAGGAAAGATGAGTTCATATGTAGACCCACTGAGCATCAGGTGTCTGTGGGACACCCAAATGGCAAAGTTCAGGGGAGAGAAATGGGCTACAGATAGAGATTTCAAAACCATAGCCTCATAGATGGTAGCTAAAAGCCATGACATTGAATGAGATCATCGTGAAAGAGTGTACTAAGTAGGAAAAGAAGATTGACAAGGATTGCGTATGCCCTAGGGTTTAGGATGTGCCTCCTGATCAACCTGGTGATTCACAAGATTGGGCAGAGTGACCAGCTCTCAAGTGCTGTAATGATTAGAGGAGGCTGTGAACTTCTTTGGCCTCTCTTTTCCTATACAGACACTAATTGCAGCATAGAAAGTCCAGTGAATTACAGGTCATTTGAGGCACCATAGGGTTTACCCAGATTTTAGCTGGTATTTTAAAGAAGGGTAAATTTTTTTAAAAAGGTAGGGGAGATAGACAGAAAATGGGTAAACAATATGATAATACCTGAAGGAGGCCTGGAGATTACAGGGATGGGTTTCTCTGATAAGGATATGATGCCTAGAGCTTAGGATGGGGCCCACCCCTGTACTTTGCCACTACCCAGCTGTGCAACCATGGGCATTCACTTCCCCTCCCTGAGCCTCAGCTTCCTTTTTTTGTAAAATAGAGATAATAATAGTACTTTCAAAGGAGTTTGCCAAAATCAAATGAGATGGTTATAAAGCATTTAACATAGTGCTTGGCTTATTGTAAGCACTTAATATTTTTATTTTCTTTTATTTTTATTTAATTTTATTAATTTTTTTAGAGACGGAGTCTCACTATGTGAGACCCAGGCTGGTCTCAAACTCCTGGCCTCAAGCCATCCTCCCATCTTGACCTCGTAAAGTGCTGGGATTACAGGCATGAGCCATCATGCCTGGCGTGTAGGCATTTAATAAGCAGTAGTTATTAGCTTTTTTTTTTTTTTTTTTTGAGATGGAGTCTCGCTGTGTCGCCCGGGCTAGAGTGCAGTGGCGCAATCTCGGCTCACTCCACTTTCCGGGTTCACGCCATTCTCCTGCCTTAGCCTCCTGAGTAGCTGGGACTACAGGCGCCTGCCACTACGCCCAGCTAATTTTTTGTATTTTAAGTAGAGATGGGGTTTCACCGTGTTAGCCAGGATGGTCTCGATCTCCTGACCTCGTGATCCACCCGCCTCGGCCTCCGAAAGTGCTGGGATTACAGGCATGAGCCACCGCGCCCGGCCTTTTTTTTTTTTTTTTTTTGAGGCAGAGTCTTGCTCTGTTGCCCAGGCTGGAGTACAGTGGCGCGATCTTGGCTCACTGCAACCTCCGCCTCCTGGGTTCAAGCTATTCTCCTGCCTCAGCCTCCCAAGTAGCTGGATTACAGGTGCATTCTATTTTATTGTTTTCACTCTTTTTTAAATTCATTTTTTCAAAATTATTTTTTTCATTTTTCGGGGGAGTCACTGGATCTGTGAATGTATTTTGTGCATGGCTTATCTCCCTGGATAGATTGTAAACATCTTGAAGTGAGGAATCATATATATATACACATATACACACACACATATATATATATACACACACATATATACACATATATACACATATATATACATATATAAAAATGTATATCTACACATAAATATATATATATATATATATTTTAAACAGTCTCACTCTGTCACCCAGGCTGGAATGCAGTGGCGCCATCTTGGCTCACTGCAACCTTCGCCTCCTAGTTTCAAGTGATTCTTGTGCCTCAGCCTCCTGAGTAGCTGGGATTACAGGCGTGAGCCACCACGCCTGGCTAATTTTTGTAGTTTTAGTAGAGATGGGATTCACCATGTTGGCCAAGCTGGTCTTGAACCCCTGACCTCAGGTGATCTGCCTGCCTCGGCCTCCCAAAGTCCTGAGATTACAGGCGTGAGCCACCGTGCCCAGCCCCAGCCTTTTTTTCTTTCCTTTTTTTGTAGAGACAGGGTCTCACTATATTGACCAGGCTGGTCTCCAACTCCTGGGCTCAAGAAATTCTGCTGCCTAGGCCTCCTAAAGTGCTGGGATCATAGGTGTGAGCCACAACACCAAGTCAATATTTTTTTATATAGAGTACTTGCTGAAATGATAATATTTTGGATACTGGGGTTAAATAAAAATATTTTATTACATTTAATTTAACTTGTTTATTTATTTTTATTTATTTGTTTTGTTTTGTTTTGTTTTGAGACGGAGTCCTGCTCTGTCGTCCAGGCTGGAGTGCAGTAGCGTGATCTTGGCTCACTGCAACTTCTACCTCCCAGGTTTAAGCAATTCTCCTTCCTCAGCCTCCCCAGTCGCTAGGACTACAGGCGCCCGCCACCACATCTGGCTAATTTTTCTATTTTTTAGTAGAGACAGAGTTTTACCATGTTGGCCAGGCTGGTCTTGAACTCCTGACCTCAGGTGATCCACCTGCCTCAGCCTCCCAAAGTGCTGGGATTACAGGTGTAAGCCACTGAGCCCAGCTTATTTTTACAGGGTGCTACTAGAATATTTATTTATTTATATTTTTATTTATTTGGAGACAGAAGTCTTGCTCTGTCTTCCAGGCTGGAGTGCAGTGGCACAATCTGGGCTCACTGCAACCTCTGTTTCCCAGACTCAAGCAATTCTCATGTCTTAGCCTCCTGAGTAGCTGGAACTACAGATGCATGCCACCATGCCCGCCTGATTTTTTTTTTTTTCTTTAAGTAGACCAGGTTTCACCATGTTGGCCAGGCTGGTCTCAAACTCCTGTCCTCAAGTGATCCTACTACCTGGGCCTCCCAGATTGCTGGTGTGAGCCCCCATGCCTGGCCTAGAATATTTAAAAGTATATATGTGACTCACATATTTCTGTTAGACAGTACTGCTATAGGATCTAGATTTGAAGGTGTGGCTTTACAGTCAGACAGATCTATAATTCTGGCAACTGCTTGTGTGGGTCTAGGCAGTTTATTTAACTTCTTAGGCCTTTGGCAGTGCCTGGTATATACTGTATATTGTAGGTATGCAATGAATCAGATTTACTGTTAGGAGAATGGTTTAGGAATTGGGGAATGTTTAATTAGAAAAGACTTACGAAGGGTGGACATGACATCTGTCTTCCAGTATATGAATATATGACAAAGCCAGTGGGGACTGAGGAGAGATGAAGAGGAAAGGGCTAGGGTTAGGGTTAGAGTATATTTAACTCATTTAACTCTCACAACCATGGGGACTTCAGCCCACTTAGCAAATGAGGAAATAGGCTCTGAGAAGTTAAGTACATTGCTGATAAGTGTCAGAGTCAGGTTTAAAAGCCAAATCTGTCTGCCTCCAGAGATTTATTGTACTAAGACTTTGCTCTGTGTTAGTTTGGATTGCTATAACAAGTTACCAAAGACTGGGTGGCCAAAACAACGAATGATTTCACATATTTCCCGGAGGCTGGGAAGTCCAAGATTGAGGTGCTGATAGATACAGTGTCTGGTGAGGGTCGGCTTCATGAATTGCAGATGGCTGCATTCTCATAGCATCACATGGCTGAGAGAAAAATCATCTCTCTTGTTTTTTCCTACAAGGGCACTAATCTCATTAATGAAGACTTCACCCTCACGACCTAATTATCTCCCAAAGGCTCACCACCACATTGGAGGTTAGGATTCTTTTTTTTAAAGGCCCTCCAGGTGTACACAGTGCCTATGTAGTGCTGGGCAAATTTCTACTTCTCCCAGGATTTAGCATATGAATTTTGGGGAGACACAAACTTCAATCTGTAATAGCCTCCTGAAAAAAACTAACTGCTTTTGTATAGTTCCAGAGGACAGGACTAGAATTGTTGGGTGAAAATTATAGGGATATAGATTTCAGCTTAATAAAAGGAACAACTTGTCGCAATGGTGGTGTCCAGTAGTGGAAGGGGGGCCCGGATATGAAGTAGACTCCCTTCCAGTGGAAATACTGAAGGAGAGACTGTGGTAGAAAGAATTATTGGCTGGGCGTGGTAGCTCATGCCTGTAATCACAGCACTTTGGGAGGCCTAGGTGGGCAGGTCACCTGAGGTCAGGAGTTCAAGACCAGCCTGGCCAACATGGCGAAACCCCATCTCTACTAAAAACAGAAAAATTAGCTGGGCATGGTGGCACATACCTGTAATGCGAGCTATTCAGGATGCTGAGGGAGGAGAATCGCTTGAACCTGGGAGGCAGAGGTTGCAGTGAGCCAAGGTGGTGCCACTGCACTCCAGCCTGGGCAACAGAGCGAGACTCTATCTCAAAAAAAAAGAAAAGAAAGAATTCTTGTTC
Source organism: Homo sapiens (assembly GCF_000001405.40). NCBI lineage: Eukaryota > Metazoa > Chordata > Mammalia > Primates > Hominidae > Homo > Homo sapiens. The sequence goes on along the minus strand of NW_018654706.1, from coordinate 116,647 downwards.
CGAGTGGGAGAGATTGAATTATCATATTTCCTTGATTCCTAGACACTGTCCACTCTAAGTCATAGTATTGATTTAATAACAGAGTTTCAGTCGATTGATAAACACTCTCTCTCTATGTGTGTGTGTGTGTATATATATATATATATATATCTGTTATAAATTGAAGCCCGATAAACCCAGACACAAAATGCATCTTAGAGTTGAGAAAATGCAGTAGTCGAACTTTATGATTTCATAGATACTTAGCCTTAGTAATTCTATGCCTTTGGATTTTTTTCCTATTATGACAACTACAGCATTATTATTAATAGTAATGACCATCAGCAAACACCCAATGACAAATAAGAAATGACACCATTCTTAAGGAGTTTAGTTTGCTGAGAGACAGGTAAAACACCTCATATAATTTTGTGCCTAGTGTTCTTCATTGGGTGCTGACTCAAGAAATTCACCTCCCCACCCCACTGGCTGAATGACAGGCAGCATTAGCCATTTAATTCTCTTAATCTCAAGGCGGGGCCCTAAGAAAGTCTGTTGCAGAAGGGTAATTGGCCTATTTACTTGCTCCCTTCCTCTTAGCCCAGCCAACCCAACTCTAGCCTCTGGTTGACCAGGTGTTGAGGTGCCTTGAGGGGATAAGCTATAATAGTTAATGTATTACATGTATCCATAAAAGATTAAAGATTAGCTCTGTTTTAGCTGAACTGTAACTGTCTGTTTGGGTTTCTCCCCTCCCGGGCTGTCTGGGGAAATCAGTGTTGGTTTTAGTCTGAAGATAATTAACCGATAATTAACCCACTGGGTCTCAAATTTCCTGGACAGCTCCCCTTGAGTGTGTGATTACTGGGTGCCAGGCTCTGTGGTAAGCACTTTCTGTGAATCTGTATTTTTTTTTTTTTTTTTTGAGATGGAGTCTTACTCTGTCACCCAGGTGGATGTGCAGTGGCATGATCTCGGCTCACTGCAACCTCCACCCACCAGGTTCAAGTGATTCTCCTGCCTCCGCCTCCCAAATAGCTGGGATTACGAGCGTGCACCACCACACTCAGCTAATTTTTGTATTTGTAGTAGAGACGGGGTTTCACCAAATTGGCCAGGCTGGTCTCGAACTCCAGACCTCAGGTGATCCACCTGCCTCAGCCTCCCAAAGTGCTGGGATTACAGGTGTGAGCCACCATGCTCAGCTGAATCTGTATAATTCATTTCCTCCTCATACTAGCTCTCAGAAGCAGGTGGTATTCTCTCCATCTCACAGCTGCCAGAATTGCAAGTCTGCTGTATAATCTATGTGGAAGTAAAAGAGTTTGTTTCTGGTCCCCTAAGATCTCATCACAATTACCCCCTTCCTTGGGTCAAATGGTTTTATGCCATTATTTATGCCATCAACTCAAATGTTTTCTGGAGGAGACTCTTTGTACAACCCAGAGGAGAGGAGAAAGCCCAAAAAGACTTCATGGAGAAGCAGAAGGGCAGAGGTTAACACACTAGTGCTTAGGACTTAAGATGGGTCCTGGACATGGTGGATCATACCTGTAATTCCAGCACTTTGGGAGACCGAGGCAGGTGGATCACTTGAGCCCAGTAGTTCAAGACCAGCCTAGGCAACGTAGGGAGACCCCATCTCTACAAAAAATTAAAAATTAGCCAGACATGGTAGCCCTCGCCTGTAATTCCAGCTACTTGGGAGGCTGAGATGGGAGTGTCATTTGAGCCCAGGAGGTCAAGGCTATAGTGAGCTGAGATGCTTCCACTGCACTCCAGCCTGGGTGACAGAGCCAGACTGTCTCAAAAAAAAAAAAAAAAAAGAGAATTAGTGAAAAGAACATTGTAAGGAGAGTTGGCATATTCTCCATATGGGCATAGCAAGCACATTGTGGCACACAATACAGTCAGCACTTACTATGTGCCTGCGGTAGGAGAGGCACCATGCTGAACTTTGGGAATATAAAGAATAACTGGGACAACCTAAACCCCTGCCCTGAGAGAGTCCACATTCTAGTGATAAAATATTAAATAATATTAAAAATGGTTACAAAAGAAAGAAGGTGGAAAATATTTATGATATAATATTAACTACTCAAGCCAGTTACAAATGTACAGTGTGATTTTAATTATATAGAGTCCTTAAAACATCTTTACACAGGAGAAGAAAACATAGCACTCTAATACTAACAATAATTGCCTTTGTTTAACTTTGTTTAATGGGACCAGAGATTATTTTATCTCCACTTGTCTCTGTTTTCCTTTTATTTTTTTTTTGAGATGGAGTCTCACTGTGTCACCCAGGATGGAGTGCAGTGGCGCAATCTCAGCTCACTGTAACCTCCACTTCCAGGGTTCAAGCGATTCCCCTGCCTTTTTTTTTTTTTTTTTTTTTCGAGACAATGTCTCACTCTGTCACCCAGGCTGGAGTGCAGTGGCAAGATCATAGCTCACTGAAGCATCAATCTCCCAGGCTCGAGCAATCCTCTCGCCTCAACCTCCCAAGTAACTGGGAGTGAGCCACCACGCCCAGCCTATCTTCCAAATTTTTGATGAGTGTGGGTTACTTAAAAAGAGTAAAAGAAAATAACCTTTTTTTCCTTTTAAATGAAAAAAAAATGGCCAGGCGCGGTGGCTCATGTCTGTAATCCCAGCAATTTGGGAGGCCGAGGCGGGCCGATCACTTGAGGTCGGGAGTTCAAGACCAGCCTGACCAACATGGAGAAACCCCGTCTCTCCTAAAAATACAAAATTAGCAGGGCGTGGTGGTGCATGCCTGTAATCCCAGATACTCAGGAGGCTGAGGCAGGAGAATCGCTTGAACCCAGGAGGTGGAGGTTGCAGTGAGCTGAAATCGCGCCATTGCACTCCTGCCTGGACAATAAGAGAGAAACTCTCTCAAAAAAAAAAAAAAAAAGCCTGCGCAGTGGCTCATGGCTGTAATCCCAGCACTCTGGGAGGCCAAGGCGGGTGGATCACGAGGTCAGGAGTTCAAGACCAGCCTGACCAATATGGTGAAACCCTGTCTCTACTAAAAATACAAAAATTAGCTGGGTGTGATGGCACATGCCTGTAGTCCCAGCTGCTCGGGACGCTGAGGCAGGAGAATTGCTGAACCCAGGAGGCAGAGGTTGCAGTGAGCCGAGATGGTGCCACTGCACTCCAGCCTGGGTGACAGAGAGAGACTCCATCTCAAAAAAAAAAAAGAAAAAAAAAAAAAAAAAACTTGAAACAAACAAAATGTCCACACACAAGTGGATAAACAAATTGTGATTTATTTCTACAATGGAATACTACTCAGCAATAGAAAAAAACTACTGATGTACATAAGAAGATAGATTAATCTAAACTGAGCGTGGTGGCATGCAACCATAGTCTCAGACATTCTGGAGGCTGAAGCAGGAGGATCCCTTGAGCCCAGGAGTTTGAGGCTGCAGTGCGCTATGATTGTGCCACTGCACTCCAGCCTGGGCGATGGAGCAAGACCCTTTCTCTAAAATAATAATAACAATATTCTAAGTGAAAGAAGTCAGACACAAAAGAATATGTAATTTATGATTCCATCTATGTGATATTCTAGAAGAGATAAAACTAATCTACAGTGAGAGAAATAAAATCGTGCTTGTCTAGGGCAGGAAGTAGGGAGGACTCATTGCAAGGAGACATAAGGGACCTTTCTGGAAAAATGGAAATATTTATATTTTGATTGTGATGTCAGGTGCTCAAGTGTGTATATTTGTCAACACTCATCAAGATGTACATTTAAATAGATACATTTTATTTTATTTTATTTATTTGTTTTGAGATGGAGTTTTGCTCTTGTCACCCAGGCTGGAGTGCAATGGCATGATCTCGGCTCACTGCAACCTCCGCTTCCCGGGTTGAAGCGATTCTCCTGCTTCAGCCTCCCAAGTAGCTGGGATTACAGGTACCCACCACCATGCACAGCTAATTTTTGTATTTTTAGTAGAGACAGGGTTTTGCCATTTTGCCTAGGCTGGTCTTGAACTCCTGACCTCAGGTGGTCCACCTGCTTCGGCCTCCCAAAGTGCTGGAATTACAGGTGTGAGCCACTGCGCCCGGCCTACCCAGATGCATTTTAATTGTATGTAAATGTAAATGTATCTCAATAAAATTGATTAAAATAATGAAAAACATTTATAGTTTTTTTTCTGGTTACAAGAGCATTATGTGCTCATTGTAAGAAATTCAAATGTATTTTATTTTATTAATTATTTATTTTGAAATGGGATCTCACTCTGTCACCCAGGCTGGAGTGCACTGGGCACTGCAACCTCCACCTTCCGGGCTCAAGTGATCCTGCCACTGAAGACTCCCAAGTAGCTGTGAATGGCTGGGCGAGGTGGCTCACACGCCTGTAATCCCAGCACTTTGGGAGGCCGAGGTGGGTAGATCACCTGAGGTCAGGTGTTCGAGATCAGCCTGGCCAACACGGTGAAACCCTGTTTCTACTAAAAGTACAAAAATTAGCTGGGCATGGTGGTGCGTGCCTGTAATCCCAGCTACTCGGGAGGTTGAGGCAGGAGAATCGTTCAAACCTGGGAGGCAGAGGTTGCAGTGAGCTGAGATCACGCCACTGTACTCCAGCCTGGGTGACAGAGTGAGAATCCATCTAAAAAAAAAACCCAAAAAAAACAAAAAACAAAAACAAAACAAAATACCAAGTAGCTGGGGACACAGGCACCCACCACCATGCCTGGCTAATTTTTTCTATTTTTGGTAGAGATGGGGTTTCACCATGTTGCCCAGGCTGGTCTCAAACTCACAAGCTCAAGCGATCCTCGCGCCTTGTCCTCCCAAAGTGTTAGGATTACAGGCATAAGCCACTGTGGCAGGCCTAGAAATTCTAATATTTTAGAAGAAAACTCTAAAATGTACAAAAAAAATACTTTTTCCATTTTGAGAAATTAGAAAGTCACTACAATTCTAAGCACAGGGTTTGGTACACAGTAAATATTAGTAAATAAAATAACAGAGTAAGAGTAGGAGAGATAATCCCATCAGGAAGCAGAGAAGAATGAATAGACTGGAGTGTCCAGAAATCCCAGGTTTCTGCAGAAATCTAGAAGTCCTGCTAGAGGATAAGATTGTCAGTTGTGGCAGACAGGTGTGTGACTTTGACAGGTGGGAGAGAAGTGAGAATGGAGGTTAGACAGGTGAGCTCATAAGGAATCAGTGTTTGAATGGCTTTTCTACAAACTCTTAGGATTCTCTTCTCTCATTTCCTAGGGGGAAAGAGTGAGAATGTGAGGCCAGCGTGGCGGCTCATGCACTTTGGGACACCGAGTAGGGAGGAATGCTTGAGCTCAGGGGGCATTTGTTTGTTTGTTTGTTTGTTTTTGAGTCTGTCATCCAGGCTAGAGTGCAGTGGTGCGATCCCAGCTCAATGCAACCTCCGCCTCCTGGGTTCAAGTGATTCTCCTCCCTCAGCCTCCCCAGTAGCTGGGACTATAGGCACACGCCACCATGCCCGGCTAATTTTTGTATTTTTAGTAGAGAGGGGGGTATTGCCATGTTGGCCAGGCTAGTCTTGAACTCCCGACCTCAGGTGATCCACCCGCCTCGATCTCCCAAAATGCTGGGATTACAGGCATGAGCCACCATGCCTGGCCGAGCTCAGGAGTTTGAGACCAGCCTGGGCAACATAACAATAACTCATTTCTACTAAAAATTAATAAAAATTAGCCAGGTGTGATGGCACATGCCTGTAGTCCTAGCTACTTAGGAGGCTGAGGCAGGAGGATCGCTTGAGCCTGAAAGATAGAGGCTGCAGTGAGCTTGATCACGCCACTGCACTCCAGCCTGGGCAACAGAGCAAGACCCTGTCTCAAAACAAACAAACAAAAGAGAGTGAGAATGTGTCAGGACAAAAATGACAAAAGTCATAACGGCAAAGGAAAGCTAAGAATATGAATGGGCGTGGTGACTCGTCCCTATAATCCCAGCACTTTGGAAAGACGAGACAGGTGGATTGTTTGAGCCCATGAGTTCAAGACCAGCCTGGGCAACATGCCAAGGCCTCGTCTCTACAAAAAATACAAAAATTAGCCAGACATGGTGGTGTATACCTGTGGTCCCAGCTACTCAGCTTCCCAGCTGAGACAGGAGGATTGCTTGAACCCGAGAGGTCAAGGCTGCAGTGAGCTGTGATGGTGCCACTGCATTCCATCCTGAGCAACAGAGTGAGACTCTGTCTCAAAAAATAAAATATGCCAGGCACGGTGGCTCACGCCTGTAATCGCAGCACTTTGGGAGGCTGAGGTGGGTGGATCACCTGAGGTCAGGAGTTCGAGACCAGCCTGGCCAACATGGTGAAACCCCATCTCTACTAAAAATACAAAAATTAGCCAGATGGCCAGAGGTGGTGGCTCATGCCTGTAATCCCAGCACTTTGGGAGGCCCAGGTGAGTGGATCACCTGAGGTCAGTAGTTCGCGACCAGCCTGGCCAATATGGTGAAACCCTGTCACTACTAAAAATACAAAAAAATAGCCTAGCGTGGTGGTGGGTGCCTGTAATCTCAGCTACTGGGGAGGCTGAGGCAGGAGAGTTGCTCGAACCCGGAAGGCAGAGATTGCAGTGAGTCAAGATCGCGCCATTGCACTCCAGCCTGAGCAACAAGAATGAAACTCCGTCTCAAAAAACAAAACAAAACGAAACAAAAAAAATTAGCCGAGCGTGGTGGCAGGCGCCTGTAATCTCAGCTACTCGGGAGGCTGAGGCAGGAGAATTGCTGGAACCCAGGAGGCGGAGCTTGCAGTGAGCCGAGATTGTGCCACTGCACTCCAGCCCAGGCGACAGCAGCAAGACTCCGTCTCAAAAAAAAAAATAATAAAATAAAATAAAATAATGAAAAGACAAAATCTAAGACTAAATAAAGGGGGAAGGCTGGGCGCAGTGGCTCACGCCTGTAATCCCACCACTTTGGGAGGCTGAGGCGGGTGGATCACTTGAGGTCAGGCATTCAAGACTAGCCTGGCAAACATGGCGAAACTCCGTCTCTACTAAAAATACAAAAAATTTGCAGGCATTGTGGTGGACGCCTGTAATCCCAGCTACTCGGGAGGCTGAGGCAGGAGAATTGCTTGAACCCAGGAGGCAGAGGTTGCAGTGAGTCGAGACTGCGCCATTGCACTCTAGCCTGGGCAACAGAAGGAGACTAGGTTAAAAAAAAAAGGGGGGGGGGGCGGGAAGTGGGCATAGCTGCTTGGCAATGACCAAGCCAACCACAGAGCTAATTCTCAACATTGTTGTCCTTCCTGCTTGGCCGGAATATTATTGACTAATTCCACCTGCTTGTCCTTAGCGAATAGAATTATATCAGTCAGCAATTATGTACCAAGAACCCATAGAAAGGCCCACATTGGCATTATTTGTGGATGCAAAAACAGTTGAAGACTCAAGTCCCAGCTCCCATTATAATGGGAAAAAGCGAGCCAGTAACATCGGGTCACCAGGTGCTTTTCATTCATCATTTCAGTGCATTCTCCCACCATCATGGCTAGGAGAGGAGAAGCAGTATGGCGAAGGGCAAAGAGGCAGACATGCCTAGGCTGAGACAGCAGCTCCACTTCCTATAAACCGGGTGGCCTCAAGCAGTGACATCGTCTTCTAGGTCATTATAAGATAAAGAGGAAATGTAGATGACGCACCTAGCACAATGGTGTGTACTGTGACTGGGTTGCTGGTACTATGGTCATCCCAATTTCACAGATGTGGACATGGCTCAGTGGAAGTCACAACAAAGTTGTCATGTGCAAGAGCTGCAGCTTGCTAATCCCAGCACTTTGGGAGGCCGAGGCGGGCGGATCACGAGGTCAGGAGATCGAGACCACGGAGAAACCCCGACTCTACTAAAAATACAAAAAAATTAGCCGGGCGCGGTGGCCGGCGCCTGCAGTCCCAGCTGCTCGGGAGGCTGAGGCAGGAAAATGGCGTGAACCTGGGAGGTGGAGCTCGCAGTGAGCCGAGATGGCGCTACTGCACTCCAGCCTGGGCGACAGAGCCAGACTCCATCTCAAAAAAAAAAAAAAAAAAAAAAAAGAGCTGCAGCTTGCTAGGAAATCTCCTGCTGTCTGCTCTTCCCCCAGAGGAAGTTCAAGAGTGGGCTGTACGGGAAGCAAAGACCACACTCTAGGCGTGACTGAGGGAAAGGCCTTCTGCGTAAAATCTTAGGACCATAGACTTAAAGGCGAAAGAGGCCTCCAGCCTCATTAGTCCAGCTTCCTATCTCCCACCCCACAGAACGGATGGGGAAACCAAGACCCACAGAGTGACCCACAGAGTGGAAGGGACTTGCCTAAATTACTCAGCAGGGAATTACAGGCCCCGAGCCATAGCCAGACTTTTCTCCTGAACATTTCCTTCTGAACCCACACTCTTTAGTCATACAGACTTAGGGTTGATTCCTGACCCTGCGCTAACCAGCTGTGTGACTTTGGTGAGTGACGTAACATCTCTGATCTTCAGTACCTGCATTTGTAAAATGAAATAATAGCATCTACCTCACTGGTTTGCTATAAAGATTAAATGATACAGGGCATGTAGGATGCACAATAATTTAAATATGTATGTAGTTCCCATCTTACAGATGAGGAACTGGAGCTTGTTGAAACTTCCCTTGGCTCAGGATAATACCTCAGGTTAAAGAGAGAGCCTACAAGAAGAGAAAGAAAACTCGGGTGAGAACTGGATGGGTACAGGTGAGCCAGGCTCCACCTTTCTGTCCAGGAGCTCAAGGTGACATGGGCCACCCAGTGACCTTTCCTGCCTCTGCTGCCTCAATGCACAGACAGGTTGGTTGTGAAACACCCCTGGGCGGTGACTCAGCCTGGAGGCCTGCTCTGCTGGTCAGCGCGGGCAGGCTGGAGCTGTTTGGTTGAGCCTGGAAAGGACAACATGTCTAACAAACACATTGCTTGTCAAAGCTCTGACGGGGGTGCCAAGCACAGACTGTGAACTCTGGTCCTTGAGGCATCACAGATGACTGAAGTGGGGTGCCTAAGTTGCATGCAACATCTCCTGGTTGTTGTTCTGGTCTAACAACCTTCCAGGGCCAATGTCAGGAAGAGGGTAATGTTTTAGAGGCTGGGGAGCTCCTATTTCTCAAGAGGCAGCTTGGCACGGTGGCCAGGACCTGGGCTTTTGGCATCCATATCATGCAGACCTGAGTTCACATCCTGGCTCTGGCTTCTCACTGGCTATAAGACTTTGGGCAAGTGGCTTAATCCTTTCAGATTTAAACTTCCTTATTCTATAAAATGCCCACCTTTTTATTTTTATTTTATTTATTTTTTTGAGACAGGCTCTTGCTCTGTTGCTCAGGTTGGAGTGCAGTGGCGCTATCTTGGCTCACTACAGCCTCAACCTCCCAGGCACAAGCGATCATCCTACCTCAGTCCACCCCCTGAGTAGCTGGGACCACAGGCATGTGCCACCAAGCCTGGCTCATTTTTTAATTGAGATAGGATCTCCCTATGTTGCCCAAGCTGGTCTCAAACTTTTGGACTCAAGTGGTCCTCCTACCTCAGCCTTCTAAAGTGCTGGGATTACAGGTGAGAGCCACTGTGTCCAGCCAAAATTGTCTTTTAGAGATAAAAGATGTAAAATTCATGAAACATAGAAACTCTTCATAAACAATTATTAGAATCCTGCGCCCAAATCTGCCCCTTCCTTCACTCCAAATGGAAATTGCCCCTCCTGGCTGGGTGCGGTGGCTCATGCCTATAATCCCAGCATTTTGGGAGTCTGAGGCAGGCGGATCACCTGACATCAAGAGTTCAAGACCAGCCTGGTCAACATAGTGAAACCCTGTCTCTACTAAAAAAATACCAAAACTTAGCCAGGCGTAGTGGCGAGTGCCTGTAATCCCAGCTACTCGGGAGGCTGACAGGAGAATCGCTTGAACCCAGGAGGCGGAGGTTGCAGTGAGCCGAGATCACACCACCGCACTCCAGCCTGGGCAACAAGAGTGAAACTCCGTCTCAAAAAAAAAAAAAAAAAAGAAAAAAGAAAAGAAATAATAAATTGCCCTTCCTGCTCTCTTGCTATTGTAGTGTACTTTCTCATTCACCCAGAGGTAGTAAAAAAACCACCCATTCCAGGCCGGGCGCGATGGCTCATGCCTGTAATCCCAGCACTTTGGGAGGCCGAGGAAGGTGGATCATGAGGTCAGGAGATCGAGACCATCCTGGCTAACACGGTGAAACCCCGTCTCTACTAAAAATACAAAAACATAAGCCGGGTGCGGTGGCTTATGCCTGTAATCCCAGCACTTTGGGAGGCTGAGGCGGGTGGATCACGAGGTCAGGAGATCGAGACCATCCTGGCTAACACGGTGAAACCCTGTCTCTACTAAAAATACAAAAAATTAGCCGGGCGTGGTGGCAGGCGCCTGTAGTCCCAGCTATTTGGGGGGCTGAGGCAGGAGAATGGCATGAACCCGGGAGGCGGAGCTTGCAGTGAGCAGAGATCCTGCCACTGCACTCCAACCTGGGCGACAGAGCAAGATTCCGTCTCAAAAAAACAAAAACAAAAACAAAAAAACATTCCCAATGGTCTTGAGGTCTAATAACAACAACAACAAAAAGCAACCAGCACGCACTTATATATATATATTTATGGATAAGTACAAAAAATAAATCCTGTTTTGCATCCCAGAACTCATTGTTCAGTATGAGTTTGTTTTTTTTTTTTAATTGGCTGGGTATCGAGGCATGTGCCTGTAGTTGCAGCTGCTCAGGAAGGGGAGGCAGAGGCAGGAGGATCGAGCTCTGGAGTTGGAGGCTGTGCTGAGCTTTGATGGCACCACTGTACTCCAGCCTGGGCAACAAAGACAGACCCTGTCTCTTTTTTTGGGATGGAGTTTCAGGCTCTTGTTGCCCAGGCTGGAGTGCAATGGCGGGATCTCGGCTCACCGCAACCTCCGCCTCCCAGGTTGAAGCGATTCTCCCGCCTCAGCCTTCCAAGTAGCTGGGATTACAGGCATGTGCCACCACGCCCAGCTAATTTTGTATTTTTTGTAGAGATGGGATTTCTCCATGTTGGTCAGGCTGGTCTCAAACTCCCAACCTCAGGTGATCTGCCCGCCTCGGCCTCCCAAAGTGCTGGGATTACAGGCGTGAGCCACCATGCCCGGCCGACCCTGTCTCTTAATAAAAAAATGTTGATTCTAGGATTGTAGAATAGATAATTTAAAAGCATAGGATATGAGGGAAAACCTCAGCTATATTAATTTTGTATTTCAATTTCATGCTGACTTGATACATAAGATGGCTTTTTGTTTTAAAGGCTTTTATCTTGAGAACACGATATCTGGAGTTAAAGGTATTGGCATATTCCACACATCTGTACTTATTCTTGAGTGTGATTGCTTAGGAATGAATATGATTTAAACTCATTCATGTTTAGAGAGGGTGTCAAATTGAGAACCAGGAAGATCCACGTACGCTAAAAATGACCCTAAAGTAAGTTGGTTAAAAAATTAGATTCCAAACATTCTTGGTGAATTTTGAAGTCTTCTTCAGTGTACCCATATTATTATTATTATTATTTTTTTTTTTAATTTTTTTTGAGATGGAGTTTTACTCTTGTCACCCAGGCTGGAGCACAATGGTGCAATCTCAGCTCACTGCAACCTCCGCCTCCCAGGTTTAGGCGATTCTTCAGCCTTGCCTGCTGAGTAGCTGGGATTATAGGCATGTGCCACCATGCCCAGCTAATTTTTTTTTCTTTTTTTGAGGCGGAGTCTCGCTCTGTCACCCAGACTGGAGCGCAGTGGCGCAATCTCAGCTGACTGCAACCTCCACCTCCCAGGTTCAAGTGATTCTCCTGCCTTAGCCTCCTGAGTAGCTGGGACTACAGACTCCCAACACCACACCCAGCTAATTTTTGTATTTTTAGTAGAGACGGGGTTTCACCATGTTGGCTAGACTGGTCTTGGACTCCTGACCTCAGGTGATCCGCCTGCCTTGGCCTCCCAAAGTGCTGGGATTACAGGCGTGAGCCACCACGCCCAGCCTAATTTTGTATTTTTAGTAGAGATGGGGTTTCACCATGTTAGCCAGGCTGGTCTCGAACTCCTGACCCCAGATAATCCACCCACCTCAGCCTCCCAAAGTGCTGGGATTACAGGCAGGAGCCACTGTGCCCAGCTACTATATCCACATTAAAAGGAGATGACAGAAGCCAAAATAAAAGAATTATGGGCTGACAGGACAACTAGATTAAAATATGCCTCAGTTCCATTAAAAAGGGCTAACTTGAAGATAAATTTTGACTCCAGCTCTTTAGAGGATCTATAGTGACCTTGGTGGACAGTGGGAAAAAATCACAACATGAAATTCCTTGAATAAAAATGTACTGACTTAAAAAAACAAAAAAAAGCAAAGCACAACTATCATAGACAGAAGCACCAGGCTGGTTGTATCACTGTTATCCTATTGATCACTTGATTCATTTCCTGGTGTTAGAAGAGAAAAGACATTTTGTTTATTTATTTATCTATTTATTCATTTATTGAGATGGAGTCTCACTCTGTCACCAGGCTGGAGTGTAGTGGCGCGATCTCAGCTCACTGCAACCTCCACCTCCCAGGTTCAAGCGATTCTCCTGCCTCAGCCTCCTGAGTAGCTGGGACTACAGGTGCCCACTACCATGCCCGGCTAATTTTTGTATTTTTAGTAGAGATGGGGTTTCACCATGTTGGCCAGGATGGTCTCAATCTCTTGACCTCATGATCCGCCCGCCTTGGCCTCCCAAAGTGCTGGGATTACAGGCGTGAGCCACTGTGCCCAGCCAAAAGACATTTTAAATCAAGGAGAGTGGTAGCCTGAATAATCCCTCTCAATGATGCTCAAGCCCTAATCTCTGGAACCTGTCAGTGTTACCTTATATATAACATAATTGCTTTGCAGAAGGGATTCAGTTAAGAATGTTGAGATAGGGAGATTATCCTGGATTATCCAGGTGGGCCCTAAATGTAATCATACATATCCTTATAAGAGGGAAGTAGAGAAGGATTTGACTGCAGAAGAGAAGGCAATGAGATGATGAAAGCAGAGATTGGAGTGATGCAAACTCAAGTTGAGGGATCCAACAGCCACCAGTCGCTGGAAGAGGCAAGGCATAGTTCTTCCCTGGAGTCTTTAGAAGCAACCAGCCCTGCCAATGCCTTGATTTCAGCCCCTTAAGACTTATTATACACTTCTGGCCTCCGGAACTGCAGGGGAGTATATTTCTGTTGTTTTAAGTCACTAAATTTGTGGTAATTTATTGCAACAGCTATAAGAAACTAATTCAAGGGATGTGGTTGAATCATTATTATTATTATTACTTTTTTCTCTTTTTTTGGAGACAGTCTCATTTTTGTTGCCCAGGCTGAAGTGCCGTGCACTGGTACAATCACAGCTCACTGCAAGCTCCACCTCCTGGGTTCAAGCAATTCTCGTGCCTTAGTTTCTGGAGTAGCTGGAATTACAGGCATGCACCACCATGCCCAGCTAATTTTTGTATTTGTAGTAGAGATGGGGTTTCGCCATGTTACCCAGGCTGGTCTTGAATTCCTGGCCTCACTTGATCTGCCTGCCTCAGCCTCCCAAAGTGCTGGCATTACAGGCATAAGCCTCTGCACTCAGAGTATTATTATACTTTTAGAGATAGAGTCTCAGTTTGTTGCCCAGGCTGGTGTGCAGTGGCAAGATCACTGTGTGAATTATTTATTTATTTATTTATTTTTTGAGACAGAGTCTCGCTGTGTCACCCAGGCTGGAGTGCAGTGGCGCGATCTCGGCTCACTGCAAGCTCTGCCTCCTGGGTTCACGCCATTCTCTTGCCTCAGCCTCCCAAGTAGCTGGGACTACAGGCATGTGCCACCACACCCGGTTAATTTTTTGTATTTTTCAGTAGAGACAGGGTTTCACCATATTGGCCAGGCTGGTCTCGAACTCCTGACCTTGTGATCCACTGGCCTCAGCCTCCCAGAGTGCTGGGATCACAGGCGTGAGCCACCATGTTCAGCCACTGCATGGATTATTGATTATAAAAATTAATACTTGTGGTATATCCACATATGGAATATTATTCAACAATAAAAAGGAATGAGGCATATGAAATGTCCAGAATAGGCAGATCTATAGGAACAGAAAGTATATCAGTGGTTGCCTAGGGCTGGAGGGATGTAAGGGGTGGGGGAGTGATGGCTAAGTGGCACAGGGGTTATTTTGAGGGTAATCAAAATGTTCTAAAGTTGATTGTGGTGACAGTTGCACAACTCAACATTCTAAGAAGCAATGAAATGTGCATTTGTATAGTATATGAACTATATCTCAATAAAGCTGTTCAAAAATACTGAAAGCTAACATTTAGCTAATGTATACTGAACACTTGCCATTACTGTGCTGCAATTTATGTGCCTTCTCATTTAATCCTGGAATAATAATAATACTGTATACCTAGCATTAGCACTTGCTACATGACAGGAACTTTTTTTTTTTTTTAAGACGGAGTTTCACTCTTGTTGCCCAGGCTGGAGTGCAGTGGCACAATCTCGGCTTGCCACAACCTCCGCCTCCTGGGTTCAAGTGATTCTCCTGCCTCAGCCTCCAGAGTAGCTGGGATTACAGGCAGGCGCCACCACGCCGGGAAAATTTTCTATTTTTGTAGTAGAAACGGGGTTTCTTCATGTTGGTCAGGCTGGTCTTGAACTTCTGACCTCAGGTGATCCGCCGCCTGCCTTGGCTTCCCAAAGTGCTGGGATTAAAAGCTTGAGCCACTGCGCCCAGCCAGGAACTTGTTTTTTTGTTTTGTTTTTTTCGAGAAAGGGTCAGCCAGGCGCGGTGGCTCAAGCCTGTAATCCCAGCACTTTCGGAGGCTGAGGCGGGCGGATCACGAGGTCAGGAGATCCAGACCATTCTGGCTAACATGGTGAAACCCCGTCTCTACTAAAAAAATACAAAAGATTAGCCGGGCGTGGTGGCGGGCGCCTGTAATCCCAGCTACTCGGGAGGCTGAGGCAGGAGAATGCTGTGAACCCGGGAGGCGGAGCTTGCAGTGAGCCGAGATTGCGCCACTGCACACTCCAGCCTGGGCGACAGAGAGACTCCGTCTCAAAAAGAAAAAAAAAGAAAAAAAAAGAGAAATGGTCTTGCTCTGTCACCCAGGCTGGAATGCAGTGGCACAATCATAGCTCACTTCGTACTTGATCCTGGGCTCAAGGGATCCTCCTGCCTCAGCCTACCAAGTACCTGGAATTACAGGCATGAGCCACTCTGCCTATTTTTTTTTTTTTTTTTGAGATGGAGTCCACGCCCGGCTAATTTTTGTGTATTTTTTTTTAGTAGAGACGGGGGTTCACCGTGTTAGCCAGGATGGTCTCGATCTCCTGACCTTGTGATTCGCCCGCCTTGGCCTCCCAAAGTGCTGGGATTACAGGCGTGAGCCACTGCGCCCGGCCTTTTTTCTCTCTCTCTCTCTTTTTTTTTTTTTGGGACGTAGTTTCCCTCTTGTTGCCCAGGCTGGAGTACAATGGCGCGCGATCTTGGCTCACCGCCACCTCTGCCTCCTGGGTTGAAGCGATTCTCCTCTCTCGGCTTCCTGAGTAGCTTGGATTACAGGCATGCACCACCATGCCCAGCTAATTTTATATTTTTAGTAGAGACGGGGTTTCTCCATGTTGGTCAGGCTGGTCTCGAACTTCCGACCTCAGGTGATCCGCCCGCCTCGGCCTCCCAAAGTGCTGGGATTACAGGCATGAGCCACTGCGCCCGGCCTGCCTGACTCCTTTAAAGCATTTTTTATATGCATCAACTCATTAATCTCCATATGAACCTAATACTGTAGATGCAATTATTACCCCATTCTATTTTATTTTATTTATTTTATTTTATTTTATTTTAGACAGGGTCTTGCTCTGTCACCCTGGTGGGGCGCAGTGGTGCAATCATGGTTCACTGCAGCCTCAAGCTCCCTGGCTCAAGTGTTCCTCTCACCTCCGCCTCCCAAGTAGCTGGGACCATAGGTGGGTGCCACCATGCCTGGCTAAATTTTTTTTTTTTTTTAGAGAGACACAAAGTCTCACTATGTTGCCCAGGCTTATTACCCCATTTTAAGATAAGGAAACTGGGGTCTGAGAGGTTAAGTAACTTGCCTAGGGTCACATGGCTTGTAAGTGGTAGAACCAGGATTTCAACTCAAGTTGTTGGACTCCTGAGCCCAAGATCTTATTTTGTTTGCCTGCAACTACACTTGCACCATGGGACTGGCCCCCTGGGCTGGCTGATTGGATCTGCAGAACTCTCCATTTCCTAACTCCAGTCCTTTGCATGGGTCAGCTGCACCTCCTGTACCTTCAGAAAGAGAGTTCCCTTTCTAGCTTAAAGCTGAGGAGGTTTCTGTTACTTACCTGATTCAAAAAGGATAATTTCTGCCTACAGGGTAGCACAGGGGCTTCCTAAGAGCTCAGTGAGCAGCGAACATGTGATCCTGGCATCTGAGGACCCACAGAGACCACATGCCAGAGAAAAGATGAAGTGCTTAAGCTTCCGGAAGGCCAACAGCTCAGCAGCCCTTGGCTGTATGTATTTCAATGTGTAAGTGTCCTGTGAAGAGTTTTTAAAATAAAAAATAACTTATATTGCTGTTTTTTTTTTTGTTTTGTTTTGTTTTGTTTTGTTTACTGTATGCTTACTAAAGTTCATCACAGCCATAACAGGAAGAAAATTTCTTTTTATTCTTTTAAAAATAAAAGATTTTATAGGTTAATTTATAAGCAGTAGAATAGTGTGATTAAAATCCTGGGCCCTGCACTCTGGAAAACTTTGTCAGTTTCTTTTTCTTTTTCTTTTTTAAGACAGAGTCTCGCTCTATCGCCCAGACTGGAGTGCAGTGGCGGAATCTTGGCTCACCGCAACCTGTGCTTCCCAGGTTCAAGTGATTCTCCTGCCTCAGCCTCCTGAGTAGCTGGGATTACAGGCGTTCACCACCATGCCCGGCTAACGTTTGTATTTTTAGTAGAGACGGGGTTTCACCATGTTGGCCAGGCTGGTCTTGAACTCCTGACCTCAGGTGATCCACCTGCCTCGGCCTCCCAAAGTGCTGGGATTACAGGCGTGAGCCACCGTGGCTAGCCTGTCAGTTTCTTAAAAAATGAACCGCATAGGCGGGTACAGTGGCTTGTGCCTGTAATCCCAGCACTTTGGGAGGCTGAGGGAGGTGGATCACCTGAGGTCAGGAGTTTGAGACCAGCCTGGCCAACATGGTGAAACCCCATCTCTAGTAAAAATACAAAAATTAGCTGGGAGTGGTGGTGGGAGCCTGTAATCCCAGCTACTCAGGAGGCTGAGGCAGAAGAATCGCTTGAACCCAGGAGAAGGAGGTTGCAGTGACCCAAGATCCTGCCATTGCACTCCAGCCTGGGCGACAAAAGTAAAACTCCATCTCAAAAAAAAAAAAAAAAAAAAAAAAAAGAATCACACAGCTACCATACAACCTGGCAATTGCAATCCTGAGCATTTATCCCAGAGAAATGAAGACTTACATTAAGACAAAAACCTGTAGTTGAATGTTTAAAGCAGTTTTATTGGTAGTATCCCCAAACTGGAAACAATCCAGATGTTCTTCAATAGGTGGATGGTTAAACAAACCATGGTACATCCACAGAATACCACTCAGCATGGAGTATTACCCAGAAATAAAAAGAAACGAGGCCGGGCATTGTGGCTCATGCCTGTAATCTCAACACTTTGGGAGGCTGAGGTGGGAGGATCACTTGAGCCCAGGAGCTCAAGGCCAGCCTGAGCAACACAGGGAGACTCCACTTGTACAAAAAATTACAAAAATTAGCTGGGCATGGTGGCACACACCTGTAGTCCCAGCTACTCGGGAGGCTGAAGTGGCAGGATCACTTGAGGCAGAGAGGTCGGTGATGCCAGTGAGCTCTGATTGCGCTACTGCACTCCAGCCTGGGTGACAAAGCCAGACCCTGTCTCAAAAAAAAAAAAAAAAAAAAGAGAGAGAACAAATATGAATACTTGGAACAATCTGGATGAATTTCCAGAGAATCATGATGAGTGAAAAAAAGCCAGTCTCAAAAGATTAAACACTGTATGATTTATTTATATAAAATTCTTGAAATGACAAAATTATAAAAATGGAGACAGAATTACCAGTGTAAAGGAGGAGGTAGAGGCAGGAGGAAGTGGGGTTGGCTATTGAAAGGTCAATATGAGGAATCCTGGTAGTGTTGGAAATACTCTGTGTCTTGACTGTATCAATGTGAATATCTTGGTTGTGATACTGTGTTGTATTTTTTCAAGAAGTTACCATCGGGGGAAACTAGGTAAAGAGTACACAGGATCTCTTTGTTCCCTCCCTCCCTCCCTCCCTCCCTTCCTTCCTTCCTTCCTTTTTTGAAACAGGGTCTTATTCTGTCACCGAAGCTGGAGTGCAGTGGCACAATCATGGCTCACTGCAGCCCCGGCCTCCTGGGCTCAAGCTATCCTCCCACCTCACCCTCCCAAGTAGCTAAGAACACAGGCGCGTGCCACCACTCCTGGCTCATTTTAAAACATTTTTTGTAGAGATGGAGTCTCCCTATGCTGCCCAGGCTGGTCTATGACTCCTGGGCTCAAATGAGCCCACCTCAGCCTCCCAAAGTGCTGGGATTACAGGCGTGAGCCACCTTGCCTGGCCTATATTATTTCTTATAGCTGCATGTGAAGCTATAATTATCTCAAAATTAAAAGTTTAATTAGGAAAAAATCCTAGACCCTATGCTTAAAACATGCTGTGTGTCCTGGAGTAAGTTGCTTTTCCTCCCTGTCCCTTAGTTTTTACTTGTCTTATAGATTTGTTGTGAGAAATAAGAAATAAGTGATATTATGTATATAAAATGCTTAGTACATTGTATATTAGCGTTAGTACTGATACACTGTAAGAACCTAATAAATATTAGTATGATTACAGAAAAATTACAAAATATAGATAATCAAAATGAAGAAAATATTTTAAACAACCATAATTCTACCACTTTTAACACCTGTATCAATTTATATGTTTTTAGCTGCAAGTAAAAACAAAATCAACAACAATGAAGTACCACTTCAAATGCATTAGGATGGCTTTAACAATTAAAATAATAATAATAATAACTGCTGGTGGGAAGGCCAAATGGCTCAGCCTCTGTGGAAAACATTTGAGCAGTTTCTCAAGAAGTTAAACATAGACGGCCAGACACAGTGGCTCACACCTGTGATCCCAGCACTTTAGGAGGCTGAGGTGGGCAGATCACTTGAGGTCAGGAGTTTGACCTCATGGAAGCTGGGCTCTACTAAAAAAAAATACCAAAAATTAGCTGGGTGTGGTGGTGTGTGCCTATCGTCCCAGCTACTCGGGAGGCTGAGGCACGAGAATCGCTTGAACCCGGGAGGCAGAAGTTTCAGTGAGCCAAGATGGCCCCACTGTACTCCAGCCTGGGCGAGAGAGACTCCGTCTCAAAAAAAAAAAAAAAAAAAGTTAAACATAGAATTACCATATAACCCTGCAATTCCATTCCTAGGCATACACCTGAAATAATTGGAAAAATGTACTCCAACAATTATTTGTACACACTTTTTCATAGCAGCACTAGTCAAAATAGCCAAAGTGTCCATCAATGGATGGCTCATACACAAATTGTAGCAAATACATACAAAAGAATATTGTTTAGACATAAAAAAGAATGAAGTGCTGATACCTGCTATGATCTAAATAAGCCTCAAAAAATTTTATGCTAAATGAAGGAAGACAGGCACAAGAGATCATACACTGCGTAATTCTATTTATATGAGGCATTCAGAATAGATAAATCAGGCCGGCGTGGTGGCTTACACCTGTAATCTCAGCACTTTGGGTGGCCAAGGCAGGCAGATCACTTGAGGCCGGGAGTTCAAGACCAGCTTGGCCAACATGGTGAAGCCCCGTCTTTACTAAAAATACACAAATTAGCTGGGTGTGGTGGCACATGCCTGTAATCCCAGCTACTCTGGAGGCTCAGGCACCAGAATCCCGTGAACCTGGGAGGCTGAGGTTGCAGTGAGCTAAGATCGCACCACTGCACTCCAGCCTGGGCAACAGAGTGAGACTCTGTCTCGAGAAAAAAAAAAAAAAAAAAAAGATAAATCTACAGGGACAAAATGCAAATTGGTGGAATAATGAAAATGTTTTGGAACTAGATAGAGGTGGTGGTTGCACAGCATTGTGACTGTACTAAAGACCCCTGAATTGTTTACTTTAAAATGGTTAATTTATTTTTTAAGACAGAATCTCACTCTGCTGCCCAGGCTGGAGTGCAGTGGTGAGATCTTAGTTCACTGCAGCTTCAAACTCCTAGGCTTAAGGGATCCTCCTGCCTCAGCCTCCCAAGTAGCTGGAACTACAGGTGCATGACACCATGCCTGGCTTTTTTTTTTTTTTGCAACGGATCTTGTTTTGCTCTTCAGGTTGGTCTCCTGGCTTCAAGTGATCCTCCCTCCTCGACCTTCTAAAGTGTTGGGATGACAGGCATGAGCCACTGCACGTGGCCAAAATGGTTAATTTTAATTAGTTGGGCTTGGTGATGTGTGCCTGTATTTCTAACTACTAAGGAGGCTGGGATCGGAGGACTGCTTGAGCCCAGGAGTTTGAGGCTGCAATGAGCTATGATTGTGCCATGGCACTCCAGCCTGGGCAACCGAGTGAGACCCTATCATACCCCTCCCCCAAAAGTTAACTTTATGGTTATGTGGATTTTACCTCAATAAATTACTAGAAATAAAATATGTCAGAATTATTTAAGAAAAATTTATTACGTCTTATATTAAGAAGCCCCAAAATAGAGAAGCTCTAGAATTGGTTCTTTCAGTAGCTCCAAGATTTTATCAAGGACCTGAATTCTCTGTTTTTCCATTCTTGTCACGTTGCCATTTTTCATTCTTCCGTGGTTAAAAGATTGTTTTCATAGTTCCAAGAACTGCCTGAGGACATGACATCCAGCTCCACTAGATTGTAATGGAACAAAGAAGGGCTACCGATTCCTGGAAATACCTTCCTCTCTTTTTAAAATAATATCTTTATTGAGATACAATTCACATACCATATAATTCACCCATCAAATATACATCCCAAACTCATCTAGTTGTATATGTTAAATAAGTGCAGCTTTTCATGTATCAAGAAAAAAAAAGTTAATGGTTTGTAGTATGTTCACAGAATTGTGCAACAATCACCACACTTAGTTTTAGAACATTTTTATCATCCGCCACGGAAATTTAGCACCTATTATCTGTCATTCTCTAGTTTTCCGCAACTCTCCTCCCCTCCACCCCAGGCAACAGCTAATCTACTTTTTGGTGGTTTATGCCTATAATCCCAGCACTTTGGGAGGCTGAGACAAGAGGCTTGAGCCTTTTGGCTTGCTTTGGGAGGCTTGAGCCCAGAAGTTCGAGACCAGCCTGGGAAACACAGCAAAACCCTGTCTCTACAAAACATACTAAAAAAAAGAAAAAAAAAATTAGCCAGGCATGGTGTCCCAGGTACCCAGGAGGCTGAGGCAGGAGGATCACTTGAGCCTGGGAGTTTGAAGCTGCAGTGTTATGCTATGATGAGCACACTTCAGGTGGGTGACAGAATGAGATTCTCTCTAAAATACAAAACAAAACAAAAAAACCCTCCTATTTTCTGTCCCTATAAATTTGCTTATTCTGGTCATTTCATATAAATGGAATCATAAAGTATGTGGTATTTTGTGCTGACTTCTTTTTACTTAGCATAATGTTTTCAAGGTTCATTCATGTTGCAAAATGTATCAGTAGCTCATTTCTTTATATTACTGAATAATCTTCCATTATATAGACATACTATATATTTTTTACCCATTCATGGTTGGTGGATATTTGGGTTGTTTCCACTTTTGGCCTTTTTTTTTTTTTTGGAGACGGAGTCTCGCTCTATTGCCCCGACTGGAGTGCAATGACGCAGTCTCGGCTCACCGCAACCTCCTTCTCCTGGGTTCAAGTGATTCTCCTGCCTCAGCCTCCCGAGTAGCTGGGATTGCAGATGCCGGCCACCATGGCCGGCTAATTTTTTGTATTTTTAGTAGAGACAGGGTTTCACCATGTTGGCCAGGCTGGTCTCAAACTCCTGACCTCAGGTGATCCACCCGCCTTGGCCTCCCAAAGTGCTGGGACTATAGGCCCAGCATTGTTTTTGTTGTTGTTGTTGTTGTTTTGTTTTTTTGGTTTTTTTCTGTTTGTTTTTTTGATACAGAGTTTCACTTTGTTAACTAGGCTGGAGTGCAGTGTTGGGATCTCAGCTACTGCAACCTCCGTGATTCAACTTCCCGGGTTCAAACGATCCTCCCTCCTCAGCCTCCCGCGTAGCTGGGACTACAAGCGTGCGCCACCGCCCGGCTAATTTTTAGTAGAGAAGAGGTCACCATGTTGGCCAGGCTAGTCTGGAGCTCCTAACCTCAGATGATCTGCCTGCCTCGGCCTCCCAAAGTGCTGGGATTACAGGCGTGAGTCACCGTGCCCTGCCTCTCTTTGTTGTTGGTTTTTTTGAGACAGAGTCTCACACTGTCACACTGGCTGAAGAGCAACGGCGCAATCTCGGCTCATTGCAAACTCCACCTCCCAGGTTCACGGGATTCTCCTGCCTCAGCCTCCCGAGTAGCTGTGATTAAAGGCGCCCACCACCACACCCGGCTAATTTTTTTGTATTTTTAGTAGAGACGGGGTTTCACTATGTTGACCAGACTGGTCTTGAACTTGTGACTTTGTGATCCGCCCACCGCGGCCTCCCAAAGTGCTGGGATTACAGGCGTGAGCCACCGCCGCCCAGCGTCTTTGTTGTTTTTTAAACCAGGAAACTCTTCCCTCAGGCTTCCCAGCGGACTCCCTTTCCCATCTCATTGGCCAAAACTCCCTCACGTGAATGCCCCTAGCCCAATCACTGGCATTACCATAATTGACTTAGAATTAAGCCTCCAGCTAACCTCTGGCTGTGGTCACCTTTTCTGAAAGGTGAATACCTAAACAAACTTGAGGGTTAATGAACAAAGAAGAAAGGAGAAAGAGGTAATGATACTCTGTTTCAATGTCTTTTGGGTATTTTTCTTACAGACATATAAAAATATAAATATATATATATAATATTTAGAGACATGGTCTTGTTATGTTGACCAGGCGGGACTCGAACATCTGGACCCAAGTGATCCTCCCATCTCAGCCTCCTGAGTAGCTGGGGCTACAGGTCTGTGCCACCATCCTGGTTCTACATATAAATCTATTTTTATTTTTTATGTATTTATTTTTGTTTTTTCTTATTTATTTTCTTTATTATCAACCCTATTAACTGAATATGTATATTTTTAAACAAACAAAAGAAATCATACCGGGGCAGCCCAGGCAGATGACTTGAGCCAGAAGTTTGAGCCTGGGCAACATGGCAAAACCCCATCTCTACATAAAAATACAAAAAATTAGCTGAGTGTGGTGGTGCCTGCCGGCTACTCAGGAGCTGAGGTGGGAAGATCACCTAAGCCCGTGAGGTCGAGGCTGCAGTGAGCTGTGATGGTGCCACTACACTCCAGCCTGGGTGACAAAGTGAGACTCTATCTCAAAAAAAAAAAAAAAAAAAAGAAAAAGAAAAAAAGAAATCATATAGTCCATACTGTTTTGTAACTTGGTTTATCACTAAACAATATGCTGGATCTATCTTTCCATGCTCATACTATTCACTGATAACATGATTTTATTGTATTTTTTTTGAGACAGAGTCTCGCTCTCTTGCCCAGGCTGGAGTGCAGTGGCACAATCACAGGTCACTGCTGCGTGGACCTCCCAGGCCCAAACAATCCTTCCGCTTTAGCCTCAGCCTCCTCAATAGCTGGAACAACATGTGTACAACACCATGTCGAGTTAATTTTCTTGTTTTTGTAGAGATGGAGTGTTGTCCATGCTGGTCTCAAACTCTTGGGCTCAAGCAATCCTCCTACCTCAGCTTCCCAAGTAGCTGGGACTACAGGTGTGAGCCACCACACCCGGCTAATTTTTGTATTTTTAGTAGAGCCGGGGTTTCACCATGTTGGCCAGGCTGGTCTCGAACTCCTGAGCTCAAATGATCTACCCGCCTCGGCCTCCCAAAGTGCTGGGATTACAGGCATGAGCCACCGCACCCGGCCTGCCTTCTCTTCTACTTCCAATTCTTTCTGCCCTCTAGGGAGCTTGTTTCAGTAATTATCACATCTTTTTCCTTCTCACTGGCTATTTTCCCCTCTCCCTTTCATGTCTTTCTAGAACCTATGTAGAATTCCTTAGGATGAGATTTGAGACTCTTTGTATCAGTCAGCATTCTTCCAGCTGCAAGTGACAAAAAACCCAACCAAACCTGTCTTACTCATAAAAGAGAATGTTTTGCTTATGGAATTGAATAGTATAGGTGAAGACTTCAGGCATAGCTGGATCTAGAGACTCAAATATTATTTTTATTTTATTATTTTTTGAGATGAAGTTTTGTTATTGTTGCCTAGGCTAGAGTGCAGTGGCATGATCTTGGCTCACTGCAACCTCTGCCTCCTGGGTTCAAGCAATTCTCCTGCCTCAGCCTCCAGAGTAGCTGGGATTACAGGCACACGCCACCATGCCCAGCTAATTTTTGTGTTTTTAGTAGAGATGGAGTTTTGCCATGTTGACCAGGCTGGCCTTGAGCTCCTGACGTCAGGTGATCTGCCCACCTCGGCCTCCCAAAGTGCTGGGATTACAGGTGTGAGCCACCATGCCCAGCAAGACTCAAATATTATTATAAAGAATCGGGCCTGTAATCCCAGCCCATTTTCACCAAATAATCTTGGCCCAATTTATCAACTTTCCCTGCCAGATCTGTGACCACCCTGACATGTACACATCCTATGGCCCAACACAATGGTCACACTTCTTGGAACTTCAGTCTCTGACTGTGCTTTCAATCTGACTCACCTTCAAAGACCAGCTGAGCCACCACTTCCTCTGTGAAGCCTTCCTGATTGCCACCAGCTGGAATTGACCTCAGTCGTACCTTAACCACACCTGAATGCTCTTTATTTATTATTATTATTATTATTATTATTATTATTATTATTATTTTTGAGACAGAGATTCTCTGTGTTGCCAGGCTGGAGTGCAGTGGTGCAATCTCAGCTCACTGCAACCTCCGCCTCCTGGGTTCAAGCAATTCTCCTGCCTCAGCCTCCCAAGTAGCTGGGACTACGGGTGTGTGCCACCACCCCCAGCTAATTTTTGTATTTTTAGTGGAGACGGGGTTTCACCATGTTGGCCAGGATGGTCTTGATCTCTTGACCTGGTGATTCACCCGCCTCGGGCTCCCAAAGTGCTGGGATTACAGGCGTGAGCCACTGCGCCTGGCCGCTGAATGCTCTTTATTAGCACCTCTCATTGTCTCTTTGCTGGAAATTAGACTTTTACCTGCCTTTATCTCCTCTATGAGACCCCAAGCTTGTTGAAGTCAGGGACTCCATCTTACTCATCTTTCCATCTCCCTAAAAGCCTGTCACAGTGATCCTCTGCTACTTAATTAGTCCTATGACATTGGACAAAGTCCTTCACCTCTTTGAGCCTTGGTTTATTCTTTTGTAAAATAGGAATGGTAATAGCTCTTACCATAAATATCTTTTTGTGAGGACTGAGACATACGTACACCCATAATTTATTGCATGTATACCATGTGTTTCAGAGAGATGATGTTTCTTGCAAAGGACACACACCTAGTGCTGGCAGGGCTGGGATTCAAATGTCCTCTACATAGAGACTGTCCTCCTAACCTCTATTCCAAAGGGCCTCCCACGTAGGAGAGGAAGAGGCTGGCACAGTAGGTGCACAACGAATGTTGCTAAATGCTTGACTCTCTTGAATCAATTCTGCTTTGACTGCACTTTCCTCTGGACTATGCTTTGCCCTTCTCCAGTTCATCCTGGCTGTGTCGTCAGACCACGTGACACACACTCCCCTCGGGGGCCCTACTTAATTCCTGCTGACCTGGAATGTCTTCCAAACACTCCGGTAAACTGGGAGGAGTCTGTGGGCTGTAAATCCTGGATCTTGGGCAGCCCAAAGGTCTCTGTTTGCGCTGACCCAGACAACAGCTGGAACTCCAGCCAGGGGAGATGCTGCCTGGCGGGGGAGGAGGCATGGAACGTGCGAGCCTTCCCATCCTCCCCCACACAGAGGAGTCCAAGGTCCAAGGCTACAGGTCTGCTGTCTTGAACATATTGCTCACTTTTTGGTTTCCGTGGTATTTATGTGATAAAACCAGTTGTTCTTTGTTGTGAGCCTCCTCACGTCATAACAGCCTTGTGGTAGATATTTGGGAAAAGGACCATGATGATTTGGATCCATCAAACTCAGATTGCTCCTCCTGAAAACACGTTTTTTCCCCAAAGTCTATTTGTTTTCCATTTACTAAGCAGTTGATATGTGCCAGGTGTTGTATTGAACACATTACGTGCATTATATAATTCAGAATTTCTCAAGCTCAGGGCCATTGACTTTTTGGACTGGATAACTCTGTGTTCAAAGGGACCACCCTATGCATTGGAGGATGTTTAGCAGCTTCCCTGGCCTCTACCCACTGAGATGCCAGAGGCCCCCTGTAACAGCCAAAAATGTCTCCAAACTTTGCCAAATATCCCGTGAGGACAAAATCATCCCTAAGTAAGAACCACTGATTTAACTGAATAGACATAAGGATCTTATGAACTATTATCCCTTTTCCCAGAAGAGTAAACTGAGACTAACAGAGGTGAAGTGACTCACCTAAAGTCATACAACAAATGGTAGAGCTGGAATTTGAACTCTGGCTCCAGTGCATAGGGTTTTAATCACTAGACCAATGTCAACAAGACTGTCAAAAGACTGACAATACCAAGTGTTGGCAAAGATGCAGAGCAACTGGAACTGGAGCTGGGTGCAGCGGCTCATCTCTGTAGCCCCAGCATTTTGGGAGGTCAAGGCAGGAGGATCACTGGAGCCCAAGAGGTCTAGACCAGTCTGGGCAACATAGGGAGACCCTCATCTCTACAAAAAATAAAAAATAAAAATAGCTGGGTATGTCCACATAAATAGCAGGTTTACTCATAATAGCCAAAATTGGAAACAACTCAAATGTCTATCAACTCATGAATGAATAAATGAATTGTAATATATCCATACAATAGTATTGTGCTCAGCAACAAAAAGGAATGAACTATGGATACACACGACAACATGAATTAGCTTCAAAAGCTTTATGGTAACGAAGAAGACAAACACAAAAGATTACACAATGAGGCCAGGTGTGGTGGCTCAGGCCTGTAATCCCAGCACTTTGGGAGGCCAAGGTGGGCGGATCACTTGAGCTAGGGAGGTTGAGGCTGCAGTGAGCCATGATCGTGCCACTGCACTCCAGCTTGGGCGGTGGAGTGAGACCCTGTCTCAAAAAATAAGAATAATAACAAATATTTGTTAATAGAAAATATTGCCATTTATATGTCATCATTTCTCAAGAAGTGATCACGTTATCTATGTACTTATTGTAAGTTTTTTAGGTATAATTTTTTTTTTTTTTTTGAGACAGAGTTTTGCTCTTATTGCCCAGGCTGGAGGGCAATGGCACAATCTCAGCTCACCGCAACTTCCGCCTTCTGGGTTTAAGTTATTCTCCTGCCTCAGCCTCCTGAGTGGCTGGGATTACAGGCATGTGCCACCACGCCCGGCTAATTTTTTTTTTTTTTTTTTTTTTTTTTTTTTTTTTTTTTGAGACGGAGTCTCGCTCTGTCGCCCAGGCCGGACTGCGGACTGCAGTGGCGCAATCTCGGCTCACTGCAAGCTCCGCTTCCCGGGTTCACGCCATTCTCCTGCCTCAGCCTCCCGAGTAGCTGGGACTACAGGCGCCTGCCACCGCGCCCGGCTAATTTTTTGTATTTTTAGTAGAGACGGGGTTTCACCTTGTTAGCCAGGCTGGTCTCGAACTCCCAACCTCAGGTGATCCACCCACCTTGGCCTCCCAAAGTGTGGTATAATTTTTTTTTTTTTTTTGAGATGGAGTTTCGCTGTTGTTGCCCAGGCTGGAGTGCAATGACACGATCTTGGCTCACCACAACTTCCGCCTCCTGGGTTCAAGCGATTTCTCCTGGCTCAGCCTCCCAAGTAGCTGGGATTACAGGCATGTGCCACCACACCCGGCTAATTTTATATTTTTAGTAGAGACAGGGTTTCTCCATGTTGGTCAGGCTAGTCTCAAATTCCGACTGTGATCCACCTGCCTCGGCCTCCCAAAGTGCGGTATAATTTTTTTGAAATGGAATCCTGCAACATTGCCCAGGCTTTTCTGGAACTCCTGGGGTCAGCTTCAGTTTTCCCACCTCAGCTTCCTGAGTAGTTGGGATTGCAGATGTAAACCACCACACCCGATGTGTAGGTATAATTTTTATTAATGGTCAAACTCTCTTCAGTAAATGTGTAAATTATGATTATTATAGTTCTTTTCTTCAATAGGTTACTGTCAATTTATCTAATGACCTCTGCATTCATTAGCAAACACTCCACAATGACAATATTGTCTTAAGACTAGTGAATTAATACATTTTGTTGCATTATGTTTGTGTTCTAAACTTAAAAGCTAATTTTTGAATGCAAAACTTTGTCATCTGCTAAAGAATTAAATGGATTAAGAATAACAACAAAAACAAAAACAAAACTAATTTGTAATAACAGAAAGCTGATAGTGGGTGCCTGGGGCCAGAAAGCAGGATGGGATATTCACTGCAAAGGAGCACAAGGAAATTAGATTTGGATGGTAGTTGCATAGGCGTATGCTTTTCTCAAAACTCATGGAAATGTCTGCATTTAAAATGAGTGCGTTTTGGCCGGGCACGGTGGCTCGCGCCTTTTATCCCAGCACTTTGGGAAGCTGAGGCGGGCGGATTGCCTGAGCTCAGGAGTTTGAAACCAGCCTGGGCAACATGGTATAACCCCGGCTCTACTAACAATACAAAAAATTAGCCAGACGTGGTGGCGGTCGCCTGTTAATCCCAGCTACTAGGGAGGCTGAGGCAGGAGAATCGCTTGAACTCGGGAGGCAGAGGTTGCAGTGAGCCAAGATCATGCCACTGCCCTCCAGCCTGGGTGACAGAGTGAGACTGTCTCAAAAAAAAAAAAAAAAGTGTGCATTTTATTATATGCAGATTCTACTGTATAAATTTGGTTTGAAAGGAAAAAATAAATTGCGGCAGGGAAATGCAGATTGGAGGAAGATATCAATGTGAAACAGGAAAAGAGGCTTAGAGGGTTCTTCTTTGGTTGGTCAGTGACTTTGGCTCTGAGATTTGTTTCCCCAAATTCTTACCCAGGAGCACCGGAGGCCCAGCTGAAATGCCACCACTTCTAGGAAACTTCCCTGGCTTCCCCAGCCCACAGTGTCTTCTGGGAAGAATGTTCATTCTGCATATTAATATTTAAAAATTCCTTCATCGGCAGGGTGCAGTGGCTCACGCCTGTAATCTCAGCACTTTGGGAGGCCAAGGCGGGTGGATCACTTGAGATCAGGAGTTCAAGACCAGTCTGGCCAACATGGGGAAACCCCATCTCTACTAAAAATATAAAATTAGTGGAGCATAGTGGCGCACACCTGTAATCCCAGCTACTTGGGAGGCTGAAGCTTGAGAATTGCTTGAACCTGGGAGGCGGAGGCTGCAGTGAGAGGAGATCGTGCCACTCCAGCCTTGGCGACAGAATGAGACCCTGTCTCAAAAACAAACAAACCTCCTCCATAAGTGAGTGCATTTCAGTTTATTAAATGCTTTCAGCCTATTATTTCAGCTGATTCTTTAAAAAAAAATTTATTATTATTTTTTAATTTACCACAACATGTCAGTCAACTCAGCTGATTCTTAACCACTGATCAGGTCAAAGATTCTCCCCATTTTAGAGATGGGGAAACTAACATTTTCCTTCAGGGAAAGAAGTGACTTGTTTACATCTTAAAGCCACAAATTAAGACAGTGCCTGGACTAGTACCTGGGCCTGCAGTGCTCCTTCCCTTGGAAGGCAGTGGAAGGGTGGGTGGAAAGAGCACTTTCTGGAGAGTTTAGAACTCCTGCTCATTTGCTTGGGACATGTCTGGGCAATGTTAATATTGCTAGACCTCAGCTTTCATAGCTAAAAATTGGTAAAATCCTCACTTTGCCTATGTCTCAGGATTGTGGTTAGGATTGCCTAGAACAGTCTTGGCTCATAAATAAGTGATTAAAAAAAAATATATATATATATAGGCCAGGCGCAGTGGCTCACGCCTGTAATCCCAGCACTTTGGGAGGCCAAGATGGGCGGATCACAAGGTCAGGAGATCGAGACCATCCTGGCTAACAAGGTGAAACCCCGTCTCTACTAAAAATACAAAAAATTAGCCAGGCGTGGTGGCAGGCGCCTGTAGTCCCAGCTACTAGGGAGGCTGAGGCAGGAGAATGGCATGAACCCGGGAGGTGGAGCTTGCAGTGAGCTGAGATAGTGCTACTGCACTCCAGCCTGGGCGACAGAGCAAGACTCCATCTCAAAAAAAAAAAAATATATATATATATATATATTTATATTTATATATGTATGTGTATATTTAGATATTGAGACATGGTCTCACTCCATCACTCAGGCTGGAGTGCAGTGGTGCAATCACAGCTCACTGCAGCCTCGACCTCCCAGGCTCAAGCGATCCTCCCACCTCAGCCCCCCAAGTAGCTGGGACTACAGGTACGTGCCTCCACCTCCAGCTAATTTTTCTATTTTTTGTAGAGTCTGGGTCTCATTCAAGACCAGGGGCTGGTCTTGAACCCCTGGGCTCAAGCGATCCTCCCACCTCAGCCTACCAAAGTGCTGGGATTACCAGTGTGAGCCACTCCACTCTGCCGCCAAAATATTTAATGACTCCTTGAACCTAAAATAAACGGGAAGAAAAAAAATGTAATGAAAACAACAAACATTTATTGAGCACTTATGCTAGCATATGGTAGACATTGGGATACAACGGTGAACATGGAGACAGGCAGGAAACAATAAAGATTATGAAACGTGTTGAAGAGAAAAGAAATGGGAAGGGGCAGGGTGAGGCTGAGAAACAGGGGTCAGGTCCGAACTCTCTGATGAGACGATGTTAAAGGTGAAACTGCAGGTTTAGAAAGAGCTTGTCTGGAGAAGAGCATTCCAGGTTGTGGGAATTCTATACTATCTTTTATCTCACAACTCCCATTTCATAGATGAGGAACCTGTGGCTTTGAATCTAAGAAAATGGTACTGACTCTGTCTTCTGCTGAAAAGAAGAACTTAACTAAACAGGCACTTTATAATCATTTTCTCTTTCTCTTTTTAAAGCCTGGCCTATGGAATCCAACATTTTCTCATTTGATTCTGACAATTTTTTTTTTTTTTAAGGCAGAGTCTCACTCTGTCTCCCAGGGCGGAGTGCAATGGTGCCATCTCAGCTCACTGCAACCTCCACCTCCCAAGTTCAAGCTATTCTCCCACCTCAGACTCCCAAGTAGCTGGGACTACAGGTGCCTGCCACCAAGTCCAGCTAATTTTTGTATTTTTAATAGAAACGGGGGTTTCACCATGTTGACCAGGCTGGTCTCAAACTCCTGACCTCAAGTGATCCACCTGCCTTAGCCTGCCAAAGTGCTGGGATTACAGGCATGAGCCACCGTGCCCAGCAATAATTTTTTTTTATGTAGATGGTAATGTTCCCATTTTATAGATGAAGAAATTAAAGGAAGTTACCAAGAGCCATACGGGTACTTGATCTTGTTTATTTAAATTCTGCCTCATTCCAGATGGCTTTGCACTCAGATTTGAGCCTCATTTGTCTGGTTCCAAAGTCCAAGCTCTTTCCCCGACACCAGACTGGTGCTGAGTATCTGAGAGCTGGCCATTTAACAGACAACCAGGCAGGGAGAGACAGCCAGAGCAGAGGCCATGTCCACAGCAGCAGGAGGCTATTGTTTCTTAAGCACTGCCACCTGGGCCCAGAACTAGCCCAGGTATCCTGGTGGATACAAGCATGTATTCCACACCTATTTCTTCAACCCCTGCTACATGTCAGGCCCTGTGCTAGGCTCTGGAGATAAATGCAGTAGAGAACATACCAGACAAAAATCCCTGCCTTCCTGGGACCCCCAATTGAATGGGGAGATGACGAAGCCACACAAATGATTATAATTTTAGAAAAAAAAATGCCTCAGAAAACAGAAGCACTTTGTAAGGGTTAAAGAAGGAAGATGGATCCTCTGGGTGGTGTTTGGGATCCACTTTAAAATGGAAATAATAGGCTGAGCACGGTGGCTCACACCTGTAATCCCAGCACTTTGGGAGGCTGAGGTGGGTGGATCGCTTGAGCTCAGGAGTTCTAGACCAGCCTGGGCAACATGGTGAAACCTGGTCTCTGCTAAAAATACAAAAATTAGCCGGGGGTGGTGGCACGTGCTTGTAATCCCAGCTACTCGGGAGGCTGAGGAAGGAGAATGGCTTGAGCCTGGAAGGCAGAGGTTGCAGTGAGCCAAGATTGCGCCACTGCACTCCAGCGTGGGTGAAAGGGCAAGACTCCATCTCAAAAAAAAAAAAAAAAAAAAAGGCCAAGTGCGATGGCTCATGCCTGTAATCCCAGCACTTTGGGAGGCCGGGGTGGGTGCATCTCACAAGGTCGGGAGTTCAAGACCAGCCTGGCCAACATAGTGAAATTCCATCTCTACTAAAAATATAAAAATTAGCCGGGCCTGGTGGCAGGCGCCTGTAGCCCCAGCTACTCGAGAGGCTGAGACAGGAGAATCACTTGAACGCGGGAGGCAGAGGTTGCAGTGAGCCGAGATCGCACCACTGCACTCCAGCCTGGGCGACAGAGCGAGCGAAACTCCATCTTAAAAAAAAAAAAAAAAAAAAGGCCAGGCCTGTAATCCCAGCAATTTGGGAGGCTGAGGCAGGCGGATTACCTTAGGTCGGGAGTTCGAGACCAGCCTGACCAACATGGAGAAACCCATCTCTACTAAAAATACAAAATTAGCTGGGTGTGTTGGCACATGCCTGTAATCCCAGCTACTTGTGAGGTTGAGGCAGAAGAATCGCTTGAACCCAGGAGGCAGAGGTGGCGGTGAGCCGAGATTGTGCCATTACACTCCAGTGTGGGCAACAAGAGCGAAACTCCGTCTCAAAAAAAAAAAAAAAGAAAAAAAATGCTGGGCGTGATGGCTCATGCCTGTAATCCCAGCACTTTGGGAGGCCGAGTTGGGCAGATCACCTGAGGTCAGAAGTTTCAAGACCTGCCTGGCCAACATGGCGAAACCCCATCTCTACTGAGATACAAAAAATAGCTGGGCGTGGTGGTGGGCGTCTGTAATCCTGGTTACTTGGGAAGCTGAGGCAGGAGAATTGCTTGAACCTGGGAGGTGGAGGTTGCCGAGATCACTCCACTGCACTCCAGCCTGGGCAGCAAAGCAAGACTCCATCTGGGAAAAAAAAAAAAGGAGCTAATAGTGGGCTCTACTATCTAGTGCGGCAGTGAAAATTAAATAAGATCCTGCCGGGCTGGGTGTGGTGCCTCACGCCTGTAATCTCAGCACTTTGGGAGGAGAAAGCAGGAGGATTGCTTGAGCACAGGAGTTCAAGATCAGCCTGGGCAACATAGCAAGACCAACGTCTCTGCAAAAAATAAAATAAAAAATTAGCCAGGCATGGTAATTTGCACCTGTAATCCCAGCTACTTGGAGGCTAAGGCAGGAGGATGGCTTGAGCCCAGGAGGTCGAGGCTACGGTGAGCTGTGATGGTGCCACTGAGAGAGACCCTGTCTCAAAAAAAAAAAACTAAAACAAAAACGAAAAACATGCCTGTGATGTACTTCATGGGCTACTTGGCACAAAGAAGTTCCTAAATAAGCCTTACTACTTTCTCCACTCTTTCTTCTAATAAATACAAACTATTTTGTAATAAACAGCAAAATTTCCTTTGAAGACTTCCCATTGCCCATAGGGTAAAGTCCAAAATTCCTGATGTACCCTGTGAGGTCCTGCTAGATCTGCCCTGGGGCTTTCTTCTCAGCCTCAGCCTTTCTTATGTTCTCCCAGCTCCTTCTGTCCCTACAAGGCTGCCTTCTCCTTCCTGCTTCAAATCCTTTCCCCATGCTGTTTCCTCTGCCAGAAGTTATCTTTGCTCCATGCTCTTTTCTCCCCTCTCATCCTTGGCCGATCCTTTCTTATCCTTCAAGTCCAGGGTAGGCTGTACTTTCTCATAGCTCCCTGTGCTCTTTCTTTCCCCAGGGCTTATCACAAGAATTTGTGTGACGAGCTGGACGTGGTGGCTCACGCCTGTAATCCCAGCACTCTGGGAGGCCAAGGCAGGCAGATCACTTGAGGTCACGATCAACCTGGCCAATATGGTGAAACCCTGCCTCTACTAAAAATACAAAAAGCTAGCCGGGCGTGGTGGCACACGCCTGTAATCCCAGCTATTCAGGAGGCTGAGGTGGGAGGATCGCTTGAACCCAGGAGGCAGAGGTTGCAGTGAGAAGAGATTGTGCCACTGCCCTCAAGCCTAGGTGACAGAGTGAGACTTCATCTCAAAAAAAGAAAAAAAAGAATTTGTGTGATGTTCATTTTTCCCACTGGGGTTTATAGGCCCATGAGGACCACAGCTGTCTGTCTTATTCACTGCTGTACTGCCAGCATGAGCAGGGGCTGGGACACAATAAAGTACTTGATAATGTTGGCATGAACAAAGAAAAGAGCTTCCTGCTGGGCGCAGTGGCTCATGCCTGTAATTCCAGCACTTTGGGAGGCCGAGGTGGGTGGACCACGAGGTCAGGCATTCGAGACCAGCCTGGCCAACATGGTGAAACCCTGTCTCTACTAAAAATACAAAAATTAGCCGGGCGTGGTGGCACACGCCTGTAATCCTAGCTACTCGGGAGGCTGAGGCAGGAGAATTGCTTGAACCTGGGAGGCGGAGATTGCAGTGAGCCGAGATCATGCCACTGCACTCCAGTCTGGGTGACAGAGCAAGACTCTGTCTCAAAAAAAAAAAAAAAAAAAAAAGGGAAAGAAAAAGAAAAGAGGTTCCTTCTTGAAATGTGAGTTTGGAAACTCAGAAATGGGACAGAACTCAAAGCTCCCCACCACCACTCCAAATATAATCCAACTGTGAGGTCAGAGGTGATTCAAACATGGGCGGAAGGAATTTCTGCTGCCATCACCAGCTGAGACATGGTTTTTCTCAGGACCAGGCACATTGCACAGAGGTAGACTTGAGAGAAGATGTTGAACTCAGGCAATACTTAACCTCCCCAGAGAGGGGAATTGACTTGTCCAAGGTCTCCAGCCATTGGAGTGAGAACCTATTCTGGCCACTACAGCTGTTGCCTCTAGCCTCAGGCAGGGCAAGTCAAAGCAGGAAGTTGTAGGACTGTGGCACAGGGTGGTGACAGACTATGAAGAGGATCTGAAGGTTCAGGCTTGTGAGACCTCAGGTAGGTCATTTCCCCACTCTGGTCCTTATTTTAACCATCTGTAATAAGAGAGTGTTTTAAGTACTCTTTTAAGGAGACTGAGATGGAGATTTGCCTACAGAGGGTTTACTGGGGAATCATATTACAGGACAGTGAGAAGCATAACTGGGCAGAAGTTGGGCTGCAATGCTGCTGCAATGGAGGATTCATCTGATCCTAAGGGGTACAATAAAGCTGGGATAATCCTTCAGAGTTGTTTCAAATGGAGGCTGAGGGTCCGGGCCTCTGTACTCTTCTCTCCCATCAACCAGTCATTGGAGGCAGACTGCTGGAAGGAGGCGTAACCATGAGCTAAGTGGCTCCCTTCAACTCAGGATAGTGGCCAGAGAGAGACTCAGCTGAAATTCTTCAGCAACTTGATGGAGTGGGAGATGTGGGAAAACGAGTGCCATAGTCTGGGTAGCACATGACAGCATCCACTACAGAGGAATATGAATGAGCAGTTTTCGAACTCTGTTCCATGGAGCCCTGAGATTTCAAGAAGGTGCTTCAGTGCATGGGAAATTGCTGTTCTTGGATGTGTTGGAGCTTCTGCAAAAGTCCAACATATTTCCTTGGAAGAAAAGGCTCTCCTGCTAGGTGGTGAATGCCCTCACAGCACCTCATATTTTCCCTTTGAGGTGCCAATCAAAATTGTAATTTAAATAATTTGTCCAGGCATGGTGGTTCACGCCTGTAATCCCAGCACTTTGGGAGGCTGAAGCAGGTGGATACCTGAGGTCGGGAGTTTGAGACCAGCCTGGCCAACATAGTAAAACCCCGTCTCTACTAAAAATACAAAAATTAGCCAGGCATGGTAGCGCATGTCTGTAATCCCAGCTACTCAGGAGGCTGAAGCAGGAGAATCGCTTGAACCCAGGAGACGGAGGCTGCAGTGAGCCAAGATCACACCACTGCACTCCAGCCTGGCTGACAGAGTGAGACTCCATCTCAAAAAAATTAAAAAAAAAAATAAAAAATAATTAGTTGCATAACGGTCTAAGGTCTGTCTCTTTCACTTGACAGTAAATCCCAAGAAAGCAGGAACCATGTCTGTCTCCTTCACTGCTAAGTCTCCAGGACATGTGACACATTAGAACCATAACATCTGTTCAAAGAACTCATACCAAGGAAGCTATTAAAGATGCAGATTGCTGAGCTCTGCCTCCAACCACTGGTTCTCTAATGAGATTCTAAGGCACAAAACAGTCTGTGAACTACTTCTCTAATCCACCTGCTCTAGGGCTCTGGTGAATGTTTGCAACCTGCTGGAGGAGACTCACTTGGCTTTTTTTTTTTTGGTCGGGGAGAGAAGGAGTTTCACTCTTGTTACCCAGGCTGGAGTGCAATGGCGCGATCCCGGCTCACTGCAACCTCTGCCTCGCAGGTTCAAGCGATTCTCCTCTTTCAGCCTCCTGAAATAGCTGGGATTACAGGCATGCACCACCACATCCGGCTAATTTTTGAATTTTTGGTAGAGACAGGGTTTCACCATGTTGGTCAGGCTGGTCTCAAATTCCTGACCTCAGGTGATCCACCTGCCTTGGCTTCCCAAAGTGTTGGGATTACAGGCTTGAGCCACCATGCCCAGCCCCGGCTCCTTTTTCTACTCACTCTCACCAGTTCTCAAATCAAGCATGGTTCCAAAAGACAAAAGAATTAGCTGGGCGCAGTGTTGGGCGCCTGTAATCCCAGCTACTCAGGAGGTAAGGCAGGAGAATCACTTGAACCTGGGAGGCAGAGGTTGCAGTGAGCCAAGATCGCACCATTGCACTCCAGCCTGCGCGACAGAGTGTGACTCTGTCTAAAAACAAAAACAAAAACAAAAACAAACAAGCAAACAAAAAAAAAGAAAAAGAATTGAGCTACCGACAACCTTCTGCAAATTCCAACCTGGGTAGATGTGCACAGGTCTTGAGTTGCAGGCTACAGAAGTCTAAAATAGATTCATTAGATCCAGTCTGAAGCTGAGTTTTCAACTCCATTTGCAAATTTAACATGATTTTAAAAATATTTATTTATTTATTAGACAGAGTTTCATTCTGTCACCCAGGCTGGAGTGCAATGGCGCTGGGATTACGGGCGCCCACCACGACACCTGGCTAATTTTTGTATTTTGAGTAGAGACGGGGTTTCACCATGTTGGTCAGGCTGGTTTTGAATTCCTGACCTCAAATGATCCGCCTGCCTCGGCCTCCCAAAGTGCTGGGATTATGGGTGTCAGCCATCAGGTCCAGCCTAATAAACATGATTTTTTTTTTCTTTTTTTTGAGAGGAGTCTCCCTTTGTCGCCCAGGCTGGAGTGCAGTGGCGCAATCTTGGCTCACTGCAAGCTCCGCCTCCTGGGTTCACGCCATTCTCCTGCCTACAGGCTGGGACTGTAGTCCAGCCTACGTGGCATGCATTGAGTGTGACTGTTGCCAAATGTTTTCAAATTTAATCTCGCAATCTTCGCAACAACCGTGTGAGGAAAGGGTCTGTTCCCATTCTATAGATGTGGAAATGGAACCTCAAATGAGAATCTGGGGAACACCAATTTAACAGACAGACCCAAATTCAAATTCCAGCTTTGACATTTAATATCAGTCTGATCATGAGCAAGTTGCTTCAATACTCCCTCCTCAATTTCCTTATCTGTGGGATGGAATTAATACCTAAGGTTACAGGAGGGTTGTGAGGATTAAATAATACTGGGTAGCTGGGATTACAGGTGCCCGCCACCACGCCCGGCTAATTTTTTTTTTTTTTTTTTTTTTTTTTTTTTGTATTTTCAGTACAGTTGGGGTTTCACCGTGTTAGCCAGGATGGTCTGGATCTCCTGACCTCGTGATCCACCCGCCTTGGCCTCCCAAAGTGCTGGGATTACAGGCGTAAGCCACCGTGCCCAGCCATTATTTTTTTTTAAATGCATATTGAGGATTTAGGCACTTTGGAGACAAAAATAATGCAATACAGGGTTGGGCATGGTGGCTCATACCTGTAATCCCAGCACTTTGGGAGGCTGAGGCGGGCAGATCGCTTGAGCCCAGGAGTTCAAGACCACCCTCGGTAACATGGCAAAGGAGTTCAAGACCACCCTTGGCAACATGGGGAGGCTGGGGCAGGAGAATCACTTGAACCTGGGGAGGTTGCTGTGAACCGAGATCACACCAATGCACTCCAGCTCCATCTCAAAAAGAAAAAAAAAAAAGCAATACAAAGAACTCTGGAATCAGAATGAGAAGGATTCAAATTCTACCTCAGTCGCATGAGCTTGGGCAAATTTCTGAATCCTGAACAGCTTGCGAATGCTAGATGCCAGGTACCTGAACTGTGCTAGGTGGTTTTTATGCATTATTTAATCCTCACAACCCTCTTGTAACCTTAGGTATTAATTCCATCCCATAGATAAGGAAATTGAGGAGGGAGTATTGAAGCAACTTGCTCATGATCGGACAGACATTAAATGTCAAAGCTGGAATTTGAATTTGGGTCTGTCTGTTAAATTGGTGTTCCCCAGATTCTCATTTGAGGTTCCATTTCCACATCTATAGGATGGGAACAGACCCTTTCCTCACAGGGTTGTTGTGAAGATTGGGAGATTAAATTTGAAAACATTTGGCAACAGTCACACTCAATGCATGCCACATAGGCTGGGCGCAGTGGCTCATGCCTGTAATCCCAGCACTTTGGGAGGCTGAGGCACGTGGATCACTTGAGCTCAGGAGTTCCAGACCAGCTTGGCCAACATGGTGAAATCCTGTCTCTACTAAAAATACCGAAATTGGCCGGGCGTGATGGTATGTGCCTGTAATCCCAGCTACTAGGAAGGCTGAGGTGGGAGAATTGCTAGAACCTGGGAGATGGAGGTTGCAGTTGAGCCGAGATTGTGACACTGCACTCCAGCCTGGGTGACAGAGCGAGACTCCATCTCAAACAAACACCCAATGCATGCCAACTGGAAAAGAAATGGAAAACTTTTATCCCCATTTCTATGGCTGAGGAAACTTGAGGCACAGGGAAATTAATCAATCTCCCCAGCGATATAGTGAGTGGCTCAATCAGAACCAGAATCCAGGTTTTGTACTCCAAGTGTGATTCACTTTCTCCCACACCCTCTCAAATGACTCTAGAGGAAGGGGAAGTGTATAGGAATCCTGCGAAAATGAACAGATACCTCAAGGGGAAGGGGAACACAAAGTCCACTAGGGGAGGCTGCCTGGAAGAGACCTAGTGTTCTGACAGCGGTATTTATAGGAAGTAGGAAGCCCGCGGGAGTGGTCTTAGCTCTTACATGATGTGGTTTTCCTGGTAAGCTAACTAGTTCCTGGTACCCAGAGAAGTTAAGAAGCTTGACCAAGGTCACACAGCCATAAACGGCACTGGCACAGCTTGGGGGTTGCACCTCTTTGTTCCTGGCGTTGTCTCCTTGGTGCTGGAGGCGGTAGGATGAGAAGCAGGTAATCATAATGTGGTGGGGTTGGGGACACAAGGGGGTCCTTCCAGATTCAAACAGCCTCTTTGTCACAGGGGAAGTCCAGTAGTGGGCAAAACAGCAAGGTAAAATGTCAAGGCCTCAGGGTCAAGCAGAGCAGGGGGGAATCCTGGCTCCCCCACCGATTAGCCATGTGGCCTCAACAACGTCAGTTCACCCGTCTCAATTCTCCTACAGGATTGCTGCAAATTCAGAGGAATGGTCTCCAAGTACCCAGCCCATGGCCAGGCTTAGAAAAACACCATGGTCATTATTACTCCACAGTGCCAGGGCAGCCGCAGAAGGGTGACAGGACTGGATGTCCAAGGGACAAGTAGACTTTCAGTGCCAACAGTCCCAACCTACAATCACTGGGCACAAGTTCTCGGCAGGGCAGGGGCTATCAGGTCAGGCCCATGATGCAATCACAGCTCTCTGCCTATGCTACAAGGTGAACCATGACCTTCAGGAAATTGAAAGAACAGCCCATAAAAAGGGAGTATGAAACAAAACCTCAGCGAACGTTTATTTCTCATCATATGGAACTGGTAGCAAAGCCAAAGATTTCTGCACTTGAACACTGGATACCACTCCCTACCCACCCAGTGAACATTTACAGTCATCACATGCCCTCTAGAACCCAGATCCCCATGCCGGGGCCTCTTCTCTCCTGCACACCTTCTTGCAGGGAGGGCTTTCAGGCCGGAAGGGGGTGCCGGTTGCTTCTCCGCGCCTGCACGGGTATTTAATGTGGCACACTGGCCAGGCTCCTCTCCTGCCCCGCCCAGCAGCAGCACGGCCCTTGCCTTTCTTCAGTGCCCTCCAAACTGGTCAGAGAGGAGGCACAGACTGCTAGAAGAAGGGCAAGAGAAGTCGTAATTCACAGTCATTTGCTACAGAAAGTGCCTGGAATCGGTCCTTGGCTGCTTCTGCCTGGAAGCAACCCACTTAAGCCCCAGGAGAGGGGACAGATGAGATACTGGGATGGGGGTGGGAGTCCTCAGAAGGCACCCAGGAGACACTGGCTGCAGAAATGGGGTCCCTGATCTTGCAAGAAAATCCGCTTGCTGTTGGCAGGTTGGCCTGAGAATCCCAGGGGCAGCTTCAGACATTGTGGGGACTCAGACCCACCCTCTCAGTCTGCAGCTGTGGCAGTCAGAGGTTTGGCAATGTAGCCATGGTCACCTGGCCATGGCCCAGGGGCAGGGTCCAAACAAGAACCCTGGTGCCTCCCGCCCCTCCTGCTGAGCCATGGTGCCACCTAAGCCATCTAGAAAGGCTCAACTTTTTGGGAGACATCTGCGGCAGGGCCACTGGAGGCAGGAGAGTGGGGTGCTGGCCTCTGCGAGGCAGGTGCAGCTCTGGGAGAACAGAATTCTCCCTCTCCTCCTCCTCTCACACACTGTGGCTCCAGGTTGGAACCTCAAGCATAAAGGACCAAAATAAAGAGGATTTATAATCTAATACTCCCTCCTCTTCAGAAGGCAATGTGACCAGCAAAGGCTCAAACTCTCTAGAGATAATCTGCTTTTTTTTTTTTTATGTACTTGGCCTCTCTCCTGACGCCTCACACCATTAAGCATGGAGAAAAGGGAAAAAGGGCAAAGGAAGTCAAAAAACTGAACTAGGATTCGGGCAACAGCCTCAGGCTGCCCAACAGAACAGGCTTTTAGGGAACTGGACACACAGACCAGCTGTGACCCTGACTTTCACATTGATGGGTGAATGGCAAGTAGGAGGTAATGAAATCTGGAAATGACAGGGGAGAGAAGGCAAAGCTGCCTGGAGTGTCAGTCCCGGAGGCATTTGCCCCTCTCCCCCGGGGGCCAGCCAGGGACTTCCCAGTTCAGGAAGGCCACAACACTTGTGGCACATTAATTCCGAGCTTGGCCCGGCTTCTTTCCTGTGCCCTCTGCCTCTGTGGGCAGGGGAAGGAGGAAGGGTGTGGTCCCTTAGGATCTCCAAGTGCTCTTCCAGCTCCCAGGAGCAGGGCTGAGATCCCAGAGTCAGTGCAATGAACTGTCCATTCCAGTGAGGAAAAGGGAGGGTGTGGCTTCGGGACTGCACATCACACACAAGCCCACTGCAGCGTGGGGAGGGTGGGCATGGGACACAAAAGGGTCTGGGGCTGTCTC
Source organism: Homo sapiens (assembly GCF_000001405.40). NCBI lineage: Eukaryota > Metazoa > Chordata > Mammalia > Primates > Hominidae > Homo > Homo sapiens. The sequence continues at coordinate 74,500 of NW_018654706.1, read as the reverse complement.
CAGACAGAGAAGTCCTTGTGGGGAGCTGAACCGGGCCCAGGTCCTGCTCAGGAGTCAGGTCATGTAGCGGGTGATGGCACGGAGGGCGTACAGCAGAGCGGCTTGCATGCGCGCCTCCAGGAGCAGCAAGTTCACGTGGACCTGGGGCACAGAGGAAGGCATGTTGGCAACTGATGTCACTCCTCACCCCCACACCCCTCCCAGACTGCCTTGATCCCTGACCCACTTACCTCACCATTTCCTTTCCTACAGAGCTGCCCCAGCATCTGCTAAGGCTCTGAGCAGTTTAGTACAAGGACAAGCACATTCATTCCTATCATGACTAAGCTCTGTATTCCCTAAAGGTAAAATGGCCAGGTGCGGTGGCTCACGCCTGTAATCCCAACACTTTGGGAGGCCAAGGCGAGTGGATCAGGAGGTCAGGAGTTCGAGACCAGCCTGGCCAACATAGTGAAACCCCATCTCTACTAAAAATACAAAAAGTTAGCTGGGCATGGTGGTGGATGCCTGTAATCCCAGCTACTTGGAAAGCTGAGGCAGGAGAATTACTTGAACCCGGGAGACAGAGGTTGCAGAGGTTTATGTACATTTTTTTATTTTATCTTCCCAGCAACCTTGAAATACAGCAGTATTTATTCCCATTATAAAAATGAAATCCCAGCTACTTGGGAGGCTGAGGTGAGAGGATCACTTGAGTCCAGAAGTTCAAATACAGCCTGGACAATATAGTGTGACCCCATCACAAAAACAAAAAACTTTGAGAGGCTGAGGCAGGAGGATCATTTGAACTCAGGAGGTTGAGACCAGGATGGACAACACAGTGAGACCTTATCTCTACTAGGAATTTAAAAAATCAGGTGGTGTGTACCTCAGGCCCTCTGGGGGCTGAGTTGGGAGGACACTTGAGCCTAGGAAGTGGAGGCTGCAGCGAGCCGAAATCACACCGCTGCGCTCCAGCCTGGGCAACAGAGCAAGACTCTGTCTCAAAAAAAAAACAGGATAAAAAGCTCAGAGAGGCCAGGCACGATGACTCACACCTGTAATCTCAGCACTTTGGAAGTCCGAGACAGGTGGATCACAAGGTCAGATCAAGACCATCCTGGCTAACACAGTGAAACCCCGTCTCTACTAAAAATACAAAAAATTAGCTGGGGATGGTGGCACACGCCTGTAGTCCCAGCTACTCAGGAGGCTGAGGCAGGAGAATCGCTTGAACTTGGGAGGTGGAAGTTGCAGTGAGCCAAGATCGTGCCACTGCACTCCAGCCTGGGCAACAAAGGGAGACTCATCTCAAAAAAAAAAACAAAAAAACTCAGCGAGATAATGTGACTTGCCGAAAGTCACACTGCTATCAAGAGATAGTGTTATGATTTGAACCCAGGTCCACCAAGCTACCACTAATGTGAAGCAGGCACCCTCATTCCCATTTTACAGGTGAGTAAACAGACTCTGAAATCACACAGTGGAATAGGACTTCAATCCAGAGGAATAGGCCCAGGTGTCCCACCTAGCAGGACAGACTCAGTCTGGGGACTCTCACTGGGTCCTAACCCCTTGCCCTCTCCACTGGCTTGGCCTGTCTACTTCCATCCTGCCCTGCCTGTATAGGTCATACCTTCTCTGAGTGGCGGAAGTGCCTCCAGAAGAGGTTGTACATTCTTCGGGTGGTCTTCTCTGGGTAGCAGGCCACTGTCTTGATATAGACCTTGAGGTTCCGCTCCAGGAGCTGGTTCACCTCCCCATAATCATAGTCATCATATCTGGATGGAAAGGTCCCAGCAGCATTACTCATGCTTTCTTCCCAAAGGCAGCTCCCTCCCCGCAACCCCACCCTACAGAGGGAAGAACAGAGTGTTGAGAAAAATCAGAAGGTAGAAGCAACAAGAAGCCTAGTTCCTCTTGGAGAAACAGCTGATATCGTGTTATCACAGGCCGCCACATTGGCAGGGGACCACGTCAAGGAATGCAGAGAATGAGCATGCTGTATTGAATACCAACTATGTGCCATGTGGAATCCTCAAAACTACTCTACACTACTGTGTACATGACTGGATGGTGTATGCAATCTGCTACATTCATCAACCCCATGTTATAGATGAGGAAACTGAGATTTAGAGAAAGGAAGTCACTTGCCCTAGTTAATACAGCAAGGAATGGTCTTTGTTTTTGTTTTTTCATGATCAACAAGGCAGTTTTATTTAAAGGAGGAGATATAACTTGATTTCAGAGTTGCAGAAAGCTTAGCTCACATTTTTTTACATTAATTTCAGTATGTTTTTGTTTTTCTTTTGAGACGGAGTCTCGCTCTGTTGCACAGGCTGGAGTGCAATGGCGTGATCTCGGCTCACCGCAACCTCAGCCTCCTGAGTTCAAGCAATTCTCCTGCCTCAGCCTCCTGAGTAGCTGGGATTACAGGTACATGCCACTGTGCCCGGCTAATTTTTGTATTTTTAGTAGAGATGGGGTTTCACCATGTTGGTCAGGCTGGTCTCGAACTCCTGACCTCATGATCCGCCTGCCTCAGCCTCCCAAAGTGCTGGGATTACAGGCGTGAGCCACCACGCCTGGACAGGAATGGGTTTTAAACCCAGCTCTGCCTAGCTCAGGGGCCATAACCACTACTCTGTAGTAAAGGCCATGGAAGGTAGAGGAGGAGGTCAGTGGAGGAGAAGGAAGAGGATAAGGGTAAAAAGGTGCTTGTACTCATTCTACAAATGGGCAACCTAAGCCCTGGAGAAGATGACTAACTTCTTCAAAGCCAAAAAGCAAGTTGATGATGAGTCTAGAAGCCACTTAGTTATCCCCAGTCTAGTGAGTGAGGGGAGCCAATGTCAAAACAGATCAGTGTAGACAGAGGAATGACTGGCTGGAAACTGGAGGGCAGATTTGGAAGACAAAGAAATAGGAGCAAGAACCATGTTGGAGAGCAGAGAAGCCTGGACCTGAGGGCTGGGCGGAAACCAGCCCAACTCACATTCTAAGAAGCCTGTCCTTGGCCAGCCATGGGTTGGAAACCTACTAGTGACTAGAGTAAGAGGATGGTTCATTAAGTATAGCTCAACCCATTCAGTGAAATATGATTTACAGCTAGTAATACACAGAAACACAAACTTTCTACAAGGAGCACGTACCTTTTTTAAAATTGGGGGATAATTTTTTGGTGTTTGGTATAAACTGTTAAGTGAGAAAGGCAGGAAAAAAAATCATGGGTTCACTAAAACATGCTCATGTTTGAGTAAATGAATAAAACAACTGAAATGAATAGGTAAGGAAATGGCAACTGATCTTGTTTTTGTAAATTATATATGCTTTGGTTACTTGTGCATAGAAAAAAAGAAAGGTGCCAGGTGTGGTGGCTCCCGCCTATAATCCCAACACTTTGGGAGGCTGAGGCGAGCGGATAGCTTGAGGTGAGGAGTTCCAGACCAGCCTGTCCAACATGGTGAAACACCATCTCTACTAAAAATGCAAAAATTAGCTGGGCATGGTGGCACCCACCTATAGTTCCAGCTACTAAGAAGGATGAGGCAGAAGGATCAGGCAGAAGGATCACCTGAGCTCAGGAGCTGGAGGTTGCAGTGAGCTGAGATCACTCCACTCTACTCCAGCCTGGGTGACAGAGCAAGACTCTGTCTCAAAAAAAAAAAAAAAGCCAGGCGCAGTGGCTCACGCCTGTGATCCCAGCTCTTTGGGAGGCCAAGGTGGGCGGATCATGAGGTCAGGAGATCAAGACCATCCTGGCTACCAGGCTGAAACCCCATCTCTGCTAAAAATACAAAAAACTACCTGGGCATGGTGGCATGTGCCTGTAATCCCAGGTACTCAGGAGGCTGAGGCAGGGAGAATTGCTTGAACCTGGGAGGCGGAGGTTGCAGTGAGCAGAGATTGAGCCACTGCACTCCAGCCTGGGCAACAGAGCGAGACTCCGTCTCAAAAATAAAGAAATAAATAAATAAATTAAAAAAAAAAAAAAAAAAAGGCTGGGCGCAGTGTCTCATGCCTGTAACCCCAGCACTTTGGGAGGCTGAGGCGGGCAGATCACCTGAGGTGAGAAGTTTGAGACCAGCCTGGCCAACATGGAGAAATCTCATCTCTACTAAAAATACAAAATTAGCTGGGCGTGGTGGCACATGCTGGTAATCCCAGCTATTCGGACGGCTGAGGCGGGAGAATCCCTCGAATCCGGGAGGCGGAGGTTGCAGTGAGCTGAGATCACCCCATTGCACTCCAGCCTAGGCAACAAGATTGAAACTCTGTCTCAAAAAAAAAAAAAAAAAAAAAAAAAAGGAAAGAAAAAGACAGGAAGGAGATAACTGATAATAATAACAGCAGATAGTATAATGGATAATTTTTTTTAAATTTTATTTTGTATTTTTTTAGTGAAGGGTCTCGCTGTGTGGCCCAGGCTGGAGTGCAGTGGTGCATTCATGGCTCACTATAGCCTTGAGCTCTTGGGCACAAGTGATCCTCCTGTCTCAGCCTCTAGAATACCTGGGACTATAGGCATGCACCACCACACTCAGCTAATTTTTATTTTTTTGTAGAGATGGGTCTTAATTATGTTGTCCAGGCTGAGGCACAAACTCCTGGCCTCATGTAATCCTCCTGCTTCAGCCTCCCAAAGTGCTGGGATTGCAGGTGTGAGCCACTGCACCCAGCCTTTATTTTCTTTTTTGTTATCTGTATTTTTCAATTTTATTTATTTATTTTGAGATAGCGTCTTGCTCTGTTGCCCAGGCTGGAGCACAGTGGTATGATCTCAGCTCACTGCAACCTCTGCCTCCCAGGCTCAAGGGATCCTCCTGCCTCAGCTTCCTAAGTAGCTGGAACTACAGGCGTCAGCCACCATGCCTGGCTAATTTTTGTTATTTTTCATAGATATGGGGTTTCACCATGTAGCTCAGGTTGGTCTCGAACTCCTGGACTCCAGTGATGCCACCACACAGGCAAATTTTTTAATTTTTTGTAGAGATGGGGGTCTCACTATGTTGCCCAAGCTCGTCTTGAACTCCTGGTCTCAAGCAATCTTTTCACATTGCCATCCCAAAGTGCTGGGATTACAGGCATGAGCCACCGCGCCTGGCCTCTATTGTAATTTTTTTTTTGAGACAGAGTCTTGCTCTGTCACCCAGGCTGGAGTGCAGTGGCACGATCCCAGCTCACTTCAGCCTCCGCCTCCCCGGTTCAAGCGATTCTCCTGCCTCAGCCTCTTGAGTAGCTGGGATTACAAATGTCTACCACCACACCCAGCTAATTTTTTTATTTTTAGTAGAACGGGGTTTCACCATGTTGGTCAGGCTGGTCTCGAACTCCTAACCTCATGATCCGCCCGCCTCGGCCTCCCAAAGTGCTGGGATTACAGGCATGAGCCACTGCGCCCAGCCTATTGTAATTTTTAACAGCTGCATAGTATTTCACTGAATAGACGTATCATTATTTAAAGTCCCCTACTGAGCATTTATGTTGTCCTTATTTATTATGGGAGAATTACTACTCAGAATGGAAATACAAACATAACTCTCTCTACATATATATATAGTGTGTGTGTGTGTGTGTGTGTATGCATGTATATGTGTATATATGTGTGAGTATGTGTGTGTGTGTATATATATGTACATAAATATCAAACAATAATTATCTCTGGGAGTGCAATTAAAGAGTTTCATTTACAACGTTCAAACAATGAGTACTGTCATCTTTTAAAATCACAATTTGCTTTGAAAAACAGTATAGGCAAGAAGAAAGGAAAAGAAAAAAACAAAAAGAAAATGGAAACAACTGTGAACCCAGAGTGAAGACTTACAGTGCACACATGCCCCAAATGAAGGGATATGAGCTCACCTGATGCCAAAGACGCAGTGGATATAGTTCCAGATGGCCCTGCGGAGCACGGAGGTGTCCACACCACTGTGCATGGCGATGGTATTGTAGGTGAGGCTATAGGCTGCCTGGAACTTCTCATCCAGCAGCTGCCCACCCTCAGGGTAAAGCCGCTGGATCAGCGAGTAGCCATGGTCTTCCCAGGTATAATCCTTAGGTAGGTGGGAAGGGATTGGTGAGTCTTTGGAGCCCAAGACCAGCCAGAGAGACCCCCATCCTCTGGACCTGGGATCTCCATGATTCTCCTTCCTGGTGCCATAAACCTAACGTGCTGCTTGCTCTGGGCCTGAGAGGTCAAGGAAGGTATACTTTGGTGATGACCTTCTCCTTATGATCAGCAACCCCTGAGCTTAGGGTATAGATGGGTCCCTTAAGGATTCACAGGGACCCCACTGCCCTCGTGGAATCTTGAGGGAAATAACGTACCCAACTCTGTTTTTTTTTTTTTGAGACAGGATCTTGCTGTCACCCAGGCTGGAGCGCAGTAGCGCGATCACAGCTCACTGCAGCCTTGATCTCCCAGCTCAAGTGATCCTCCCACCTCAGCCATTCAAGTAGCTGGGACTACAGGCATGCGCCACCTTCCAGTTAATTTTTTAAATGTTTTTGTAGAGACAGGGTTTCGCCATGTTGCCCAGGCTAGTCTCAAGCTCCTGGGCTCAAGCAATCCTCCCACCTTGGCTTCCCAAAGTGCTGGGATTACAGGTGTGAGCTACCATGCCCAGCTGGGTACCTAACTCTGTAACTACTCAAACTATCCACCCACTGCTTGTTCGTAAATGTGGAGCAATGGCCAAGACTAGTAGAGAGAGCCCTACCTGGGCCCGGAAGGTAGGGGGTGCCTGAGCCCCTCTCCGAGTGAAGTCCTCATATCCGAAAGTAGGGTCTTCCACAAAGCACAGCATGTCTGGGTGTGGAGAGGGCTCCAGGATGTCAGCTGAGGACCAGAAAGAGGTCACAGTGAGGCTGAGGCATGGGGCATGCAGGGGTCCATTCCTGATTAATCACCAAAAGGGGGAGGGGAAGGCAGAATAGAGGGCCAAAAAAAGCCCCTTGCTATAGTGAGTGGGGCAAGATTTCAGCTGGAGCCAGGCCTTGGGGAGGGGGTGGATCAGGCCCATGGACCCATGAAGCGAGGCCCCTGGTAACAACAATAGTGGCAGTTATTTATGGAGCGGTTCCCCCTGGGCCAGGCTCTGCGCTAAGATCTTTGCTTCTACTGCCCCACTAACCCTACACAGCAATCCTGAAGCCCTGAGCTAGGAAGTGACTCGTCAGTGGTCGCACAGCCGGAAAGGCTAGCAGCCCAGGATTCAAAGCCAGGTCTGAGCCCAAGGCCCATGCTCAGAACCTCTTGGACGGGAGGTTGAGAAGTGGCTGCCTCTGGAATGCAGGAGGTGGCTCCTCCTCACCAGAGATAGCCTAAGAAGGAGCAGCCACGGGAGCCTGGATGCCTGTGACCCTGTACCTGAGGGGGTCACCAGCAGGCTCTCTGACTTCTCCAGCTCAAAGCGGCTCTCCATCTCCTCCTGGGACGTCCCCTCATCCCGCAGCAGGCTCTCCTGCAGCTGCTGCATGCGCTCCATCAGCGCCTCCACGTCGCGGGCAGACTCAAAGCCCTGCAGGAGAGGCCCCGTGGTGACCAGCTACTCCTCCTCCTTCAGCCTCTGGGAAGCTCCACTCATCCTTCCCAGAGGCCAGGCCTTCCTAATGCTCACAAAGGCCCAGGGCATCCTCTGTGCCAGCCACTGTGCTGGACAGCACATGGGGTCTGTGCTTCCTAAAGTGACGTTTACAAAGCTACAGAATAGACACATCTTCCCTGAGCAGGAATTTTTAAAGTATCTGTATTTTTGTATTGAAACATACAAGGCCACATTACAGAGTAAAAGGTAAACTTTGTAGTTTTAAAGTGCTAAAACCAACAGGCTTTGAGCCTATGGCATATACACAGTGTCAGTCACATGGTATTTCATTTAACCCTCACAGCCCAGTGTGAGTAGAGGGTCTTTATCTCCCCATTTCACAGATGAGGAAACTAAGCTTCAAAGTCAAATAACTTTTCTATGGTCTCTCATAGCAGCAGGTAGTGCAGATACGAGATTGGGAAGCAGTAGCTTCTACCTAAGGACCAGAGGTCATGCCCGCTTCCTCCCCGATCAAGACCCAGGCCCGTGACTTACCCCAGAGTTGTTCAACGGGTCCCTGCTTGGGGGGCTGCTCTGTTCACTAGGGGGTGTAGGTGCCTGGGGGGCAGGGCTGCCATCTGCATCCCCCTCAGGGAGGATGCCACAGCCAAACACGAAGGAGGAGAGCGAGTGGCAGTGGGTGAGCAGGACCAGAGCCTGAATGAGCTCGGCCAGGGACCAAGTGTGCTCGCCGGTCTTCAGCAAGGCCTGGAAGGGACAAGGGGGGAGGTCAGAGCTGCTCAGTGCCTGCCCTGGGTTACCCACCAGGCACCAGCCAGGCCTCTGTGCTCCCTCAGACACCCGCCTCTCTGCCCCCTGCACCTGGATGTGTTCCTTGGTGATGAGCCATGGCCGATGCGCCAGCAACTTGTTGATCTCGCTGAGTTTGCGCAGCTTCTCGGGGGCCCGGTGGAGGCCCAGCAGCCACTCAGGGTCACCACCAGTCTGCAGAAACTCGGCCATGTGGGAGCCTACCAGGTAAGAACACTGATGGCGGGCGGCAGCCTGCGGAGGTAGTGGACACAGCCTGAGTCACCCTCCTCCTTTTGTGCCTGGCTCAGGGTGGGTACCCCATCAGGGGAGAGGTTGTAGGGCTCACTGTTCCCCAAGAGGCAGGAAATCTAAGTTCTAAGTAACCCCAGCTCTGCCACCAGCTTGCAGGCCACCTGATTCCTTTTTGCACCTCAGTTTGCCAATCTGTACCTAACACAAGCACTAACGATGCCTTTCTTCAAAACCTAAAATTTTCCTTCTGAGAAAAAATAAAAACAAAAAACCCAAAACTCTACAGTTAGATAAAGCCAGGGCTTTCCCTGCTTGTCTATGGAATCAGCTCACAAAGCTCCCAGAAAAGAGATCAAAGGACAGAACCCACCACAAAGCCACCTCTCCAAGTGTCAGGCCCAGAGAGGCTCACCATGATGGCAATGTAGTGGCGCCAGGAGCTGGCCAAGGGACCATCCGTGTGCAGCAGCAGGTAGTGCAGGCGCCAGAAGCTGGTAAAGTAGTCAGGGTGCAGGCCCATCACCACTGCCAGGTTGTCTACTCGCCCAGAGGACATCAGTGCCTCCAGCCCCAGGTGCTGCTCGAGGCTCTCAGCCCCCTCCCGAAGGACCTGCCAACCAAAGGGGAGGAGAGCATGGGTTTCCCTCCTGCCCCACTCATCAAAGAGACCAATGTATTCTTCCAGTGGGTTTTTAATGGCAAGAAACTAAAAACCACCACCGTGTCCAAAAAGAAAGAATGGGGAGGATCACATATTTTAATAAGTGATTCAATAAATACTTATTAGGTACCTTATATAATAATGGCCAGTACTTACACATACAATGCTATGTGCCAAGCACTGTTCAAGAATGCATATTTTAACTTATTTAACTCTCACAACAACTATAAAACTGGAGTTCTGTTTCTCCACTTTTAGGTAGGAAAAATCAGGCACAGAGAGTAAAAGTACAGTTTCTCCTCCCTTCATGGAGTGTCTATTCTAACACTGCAAATGCATATAACCATGGGGGCGGGTGCAAAATAGTTCACATTTCCTGAGTGCTGTCTCCATGCCATCCCTGAGCTTACAGTTTTCTCCGCGTGATTTCATGGGATCTAGCCAATAAGCCTGTGAGGTGAATACTATTATTTCCCCCACTTTGCCAGATGAGGAAACCAGGAAGTTTTCTTCCTTGCTCAAAGTCACAGATCTGATAAATAACAGAAGCAGATTCAAATCCAGATGAACTCCAAAGCCTATTTCTTTTTAACTTTTTTTTTTAATACAGACGGGGTCCCACTATGTTGTCCAGGCTGGTCTCGAACTCCTGGGCTCAAGTGATCCCCAAACCTTGGCCTCCCAAAGTGCTGGGATTACAGGCATGAGCTACTGTGCCTGGCTGCCTGTTTCTTCTCTTTATTATAAAAGAGTGGGCTGGGCACGGTGGCTCACATCTGTAATCCCAGCACATTGGGAGGCAGAGATGGGCAGATCACCTAAGGTCCGGAGTTTGAGACCAGCCTGACCAACATGGAGAAACCCCATCTCTGCTAATACAAAATTAGCTGGGCGTGGTGGCTCATGCCTGTAATCCCAGCTACTCGGGAGGCTTGAGGCAGGAGAATTGCTTGAACCTGGGAGGCAGAGGTTGCGGTGAGCCAAGATCGTGCCATTGCACTCCAGCCTGGGCAACAAGAACAAAACTTCGTTTCAAAAAAAAAAAAGGTGGTCACTTATAAATGAAAAAATAAAAGACAAGAGCAATACTTGAGCTTAGAATTCTGGGTCACAGACATAAATAATCGGCAAGTGGTTGTTCGCCTTATATTTACAAAGGAGTAGAGGAACAAGGGGTTTAGAAGGAGGGTAAATGTTTGTTAGCTCCTTAACCACTCGCCCTACACATTTAGGAAAAGCAAAGAGAGGAAACAAATTTTTTTTTTTTTTTTTGAGACGGAGTCTCACTCTGTCACGCAAGCTGGAGTGCAGTGGCGCGATCTCGGCTCACTGCAAGCTCCGCCTCCCGGGTTCATGCCATTCTCCTGCCTCAGCCTCCAGAGTAGCTGGGATTACAGGCGCCCGCCACCACGCCTGGCTAATTTTTTGTATTTTTAGTAGAGACGGTGCTTCACCGTGTTAGCCAGGATGGTCTCGATCTCCTGACCTCGTGATCCGCCCGCCTCGGCCTCCCAAAGTGTTGGGATTACAGGCGTGAGCCACTGCGGCCGGCAAAACAAAAAATTTGTCCTTGTTCACTGATGGCCAAATAAAATGAGGAAACTAGTTTTACATTTTTCTGCATGTTTTGAAGGTAACTCCACTATCCCAACACACTAGAATGTAAGCTCCATAATGGCAAATATTTTTGTCTGTCTTGTTCACTACTATATCCCAAGCAACCAGAACAGTGCCTGACATAGATTAATCATTTAATAGATATGTTAAGTAAATGAATGAATGAACTGACTCAGTAGATGAAAGATGTCTTTCTTGTATTAAGTGAAAAACAAAACAAAAAAACACGTTGTAAACTATGACCTTGGTTCTGTACTGAAAGTAAGTATTGGCTTGAAAAAAGCACAGTAAACAGTGGCAAATGGTTAACAGTGATGATCTCTGCAGGGTGCAGGAGGATACAGGAGATCAGAGCTTTCTGAAACAATGGAAATTTTTAAAATAATAAACATATATTACTTTTAAAACAGAAAAGAGCGTGTAATATATGTATGGTCATGGATGAGATAGATAGTTCTATCTTCTTAAGGGAAAGCAGGCACTGATCTAGGAATCAAAAGTTTGAGCATGAAAAAAAAAAAAAGTTTGGCCACTACCTGGCTATTAGCACTTGATTTCTTTGAGCCTGTTTCTTCCCAGTAAAATGGAGTTGACAGTGCCTGCTTCACAAAGCCGTTTTGTGAATTAAATGAATCAGAAATCAGAAAGGAATAGCTTAAAAGCTGCAATTTAAAGAACAGGAAAAGATGCCTGCCTACCAATATGCCATGTCCTTTCTTCCCAGGGACCAAAGATCCCTAACCCCTTCCAAGCTTACCTCCTCCACGGGGATGAAGGCGCTGGGCCCTCGAGGGCCTCGCCGAGCCCGGCTCTCCCTCTGCTCCTGGGAGGAAACATATGAGGTTAGTCCGTAGTAGAAGGGAGAATAAAGAGGATTATTACCTATCCAGCCTCTTCCTCCTATCCAAGGGGCTACACTGAAGTGTTAAACCCACCTTTCTAGCATACTTTGGATGGTGGAGCCAGATGGGAGATATACACATGTTTGGAAGGGTAATCAAGAAAGAGGGCTCACTCCAGGCTGAGTTCTTCAGGAACTGGGTTGGGACCCAAGAATCCCAGCATTGCGGGATGGGAGGGTCCTGGAAAAGGAACTATATAGCCATCATGCTGCACATCTCCAGGAGGCCACCTTCTTAGTGGTCCCAGAGAACTTATACAAGAACACACCACAGTTTGCACCCTGAAGCCAGGTAACCAAGTACCCCAGATGCTTCAGAAGCAGCTTCAATTTCTCTCACATGTTCGTTCGTTCCTTCCTTCCTTCCTTTCTTCCTCCTCCTCCTCCTTCTTCCTTCCTTCCTTCCTTCTCCTTCCTTCTTTTGCTTCTTTTTTTTTTTGAGACGGAGTATCGCTCTTGTTGCCCAGGCTGGAGTGCAATGGTGCGATCTCAGCTCATTGCAACCTCTGCCTCCTGGGTTCAAGCGATTCTCCTGCCTCAGCCTCCCGAGTAGCTGGGATTACAGGCATGCACAACCACGCTCACCTAATTTTATATTTTTAGTAGAAACTGGGTTTCTCCATGTTGGCCAGGCTGGTCTCGAATCCCCAACCTCAGGTGATCCGCCCACCTCAGCCTCCCAAAGTGCTGGGATTACTGGAATGAGCCACCACGCCTGGCCTCTTCTTTAGTGGTGCAGTCATAGCTCACTATAGCCTCAAACTGCTGGGCTCAATGGATCCTCCTGCCTTGGCCTCCCAAAGCACTGGGATTACAGATGGGAGTCACCATGCCTGGCTGCTTATCTGTCCTCCCACCACCACCACCTCATTAACTACCACCCCCTCTTGTCTGGACCACTACTCACAACCTCGCCAGTTGTCCCCCGGCCTCCTTAGCCCTGGCCTCTCCTATCCATCCTCTACCCAGTAGCCACATTAACTTTCTGAATATAAATCCGATCAACTGGCTTAAAACCCTACCTCCCCCTCCCATGGGCTTCCAGATACAACTGGCCCAGTCCCAGTGGTCACTCCTTTTGCAAAGCTAAACCACAATAGTCTAGGAACCTTTTTCTGGCCCTCACCTATGACCCCAAAATTCCCAGGGCTTTTGCTTCTAAAAACACTGTCATCAAATTGTCTGTTTTGTTTCCCTGACACCAGATCACATTTAGTGGAGAGCAGCGCCAGGTCATTCATACTAGTCTGTGAATGAAGACAGAGAAAGCAGAAAGGCACGGAGGGAATCTGAGCAGGGTGTACAAGGCTGATGGGAGCAACTGTTTTGACCTGTTATATGCTGCAGCCTCTTTAGAAACCACTAATATCAGGTACTCACTACATCTGCTTCTCCTAGTCCTAGAGATGGGGTTCAGGAAGGATGCTCTACTTATTAATTTATTTTGTTAATCTGAGAGTGGAGGTGGCTCTCAGCACTGGTCTTGTTTACAGTTTACCCAAATCAGAGCCATGCTCTCACTGGACAGGGATAGGAGGCGCCCAGTTCTCCCCTTCCCATTAAGATCCAGACTTAGTACCAGCCCTCAGGTATCCGGGAACCAAAAACTATAATTGAACCTTCCTTCTCAGATGGCCAAAAGCCCACTGAGGAGGCAGAGCTCTGGGACTCCAGAAGACTACAAAGTCTCTGGAATAGGTACCAATTCTGCAACTAACTTGCTATGTGGCTCTGGGAAAGTTAAAGGCCTAAACTCTCTTTACCTACTAAACTGGTAGGTAAAGTAGCCCAGCTACCTTCAAAAAGGGAGTTGAGCTGACCGTGCAGGCCCCCTTCAGCCCACACTTCTGGGAACTTCCGGGCCAGGCTGGTCCAAGTTCAGCGTAGTAACCAACACAATCCCTGAGCACTCCCCTTTGGAGCTTCCCTCCCCCTCACCAAAGAAAAAGCCCAACAGCTCTGTATAGGAGATAAGGATTGCTGACTCCACAAACTGGGCCTCCACCTCAGGGGACCTGAGGACAGAATAGCAAGCCACAGCAGGGTAGGGTGGAGCAAAACTGGGGGAGGCAGAGACGGCCCATCAGGGGTGCTAGGGAAGGATAGGAATAGCCTTGGGAATCCCAACTCACTCCAAAATCTGACCCAGGAATTGTCAAAAGAAGGAGCTCTAAGTCATCGGTCTGGATCCATCAACACTTTCAGCAATAACAACAACAACAACAATATACAATGCAGTTAAAAGATAGGGGCCCTTGGCTGGCGCAGCAGCTCATCCCAGCACGTTGGGACACTGAGGCAAGAGGATCGCTTGAGGCCAGGAATTCGAGACCAGCCTGGGCAACACAGTGAGACCCCTGTCTCCACAAACAGTAAATTAGCTGGGCATGGTAGCACACAACCTGTAGTCCCAGCTACTCAGGAGGCTGAGGCAGGAGGACTGCCTGAGCCCAGGAGTTTGAGGTTACAGCAAGCTATGATCGCACCACGGCATTCCAGCCTGAGCAACAGGGCAAGACCCTGTCTCAAAAAAAAAAAAAAAAAAAAAGATGGGGCTCTTGACACAAATTGCATGAGCTCAAATGACAGCTCCACCACCTGCTATCCCTTAGCTTTATGAGCCTCAGTTTCTTTACCAAATAATGGGGATAGCAGTAACTACTTCCACTGGCCAGTGATGAGGATTTCATGAGATAACACTGTGTAGCTTACCTCAATACCTCCATAACAATAAGCACTTAATAAAAAGTCAGGTATCATTAACCTCCTTGCTGTATCAAACAAGGGCTTCTCAACCCAAGCGGTACATTAGAATCCTTTGAGAAGCTTTACAAAAATAACAATGCCAAGGTCCCACCTCCCGCAATTCTAATTTAGTTATCTGGGGTGGGGCCCCAGCATAACAGCCAGGGTGAGGACCATTGTTTACACCATTTATTGATCACTTTCTCAAGTATAAGGCACTATGCTAAGTGCTTTCTAGGTGGAAACAGAATTAATTTGTTCACTCAACAAATATTTTTGATGGCTATATTGCAAGCAGCAAGAATACAGCAGTGAAAAGACAAAGCCCTTGGCCTTCATATAATTCAGAATCTGATAAACAGGATTTCAAAGCACAGATTCTATAAAGTGAGTGAAATAAACAGTAACTGTATGATGGGGAGGGAGAGTGTGCAATATTTTAGTGTAAGTAGACAGGAGAAGCCATTGAGGAGGTGGTCTTTGAGCTGTTATCTAAATGATGAGAAGACAGCAAGGCCTGTAAAGATCTAGGGGGCCTAAGTGGGGTGGTTCACACCTGTAACCCCGGTACTTTGGAAGGCTTGGTGGTGGAGGATCACCTGAGGCTAGGAATTTGAGAACAGTCTGGACAACACAGCAGGACACCCTCTCTTAAAAAACAAACAGGCCGGGCGCAGTGGCTCACGCCTGAAATCCCAGCACTTTGAGAGGCCGAGGCAGGCGGATCACCAGAGGTTGGGAGTTCGAGACCAGCCTGACCAACATGGAGAAACCCCGTCTCTACTAAAAATACAAAAAATTAGCCAGGCATGGTGGTGCATGCCTGTAGTCCCAGCTACTCGGGGGGCTGAGGCAGGAGAATTGCTTGAACCCAGGAGGTGGAGGTTGTGGTGAGCTGAGATCGCACCATTGCACTCCAGCCTGGGCAACAAGAGTGAAACTCCGTCTCAAAACAAACAAACACACACCCCAAAAACTAGGGGGACCAGCATTCCAGCCAGAGGGAACGCGAGTATAAAGCCCTGAAGGCAAAACCAAGTAGATTTGAATCCATGGCTCCAATACCCTGAATGCTTCCCCGATCCTGACAGAGGAAGCAGGCAGGGCAGCATACCACTGCCAAGAAATGACCCCTCCAAGTCAGCCCTCCCTGCCCAATTCCCTGGACTGGGGAGTCAGTAATAACAATGGTGCATAACAAGGCTGGTTACCACTGGCTAAGCATTAATTTCACATGCACTACCTGGACTTTAGGGCAGAAGCTACTACTAGGGCTTCCATTTTACAGATGAGGAACAAGGCTCAGAGAGGTCAACTCACTTCTGGCTACTCAGGCAGGAAGGCAGTAGCAGGGCTGGGATACAACCCAGGTTTCTGCAAGTGCAGAAATGATTCCCCATTCTCTAAACTTCTCAAGGTCTCAATAGTCTCCAGGCTGCTGCATCTGGGACTCACCAAGAATGAGAAGCTCCAGTCACAGCACCTGTCACACTTGGGGGCACACACTGAATCTAGTTCTTTGTTGTTACCCCAGTGCCTAGCATAGCACAGTCCAACAGAATTTTCTGCGATGATGGAATGTTTTATATCTGTACTGTCCAAGAAATGTGAGTCTCTAGTCACTGTGGCTGAGCATTTGAAATGTGACAAATGCAACAAAAAATTTTCATTTTATTTAATTTTAATTTATCTAAATTTAAATAGCCACATGTAGTGAGGGGTTACCATATTGGATGGTACAGGTTCAGTAGACCTGATAAAGGCATGATTCCAGTTCCACGTAACAGAACAAGAAAAGTGCAACACAGAGGGGTCAGGTCACCTGTCCAAAATAACAGCTAGTGTGGGACAGAGGGAGAACCAGTGTTGGGTATTTTTATAATTTCAACTAAACAGATCACATGGGGCAACAGGAACACTAAAGTTAACCCTTTAGGTGGTCATTCAACATGAAGGTCTTCACACAAACTGTAAAAAGAGGATAATGGCCCCAGACCTGTGCCTGGCTCCTAATTTTTTCTTTTTTTTTCTTTTTTTCTTTGAGATGGAGTCTCGCTCTGTCACCCAGGCTGGAGTGCAGTTGCGTGATCTTGGCTCACTGCAACCTCCGCCTCCTGAGTTCAGGCAATTCTCCTGCCTCAGCCTCCTAAGTAGCTGGGAGTATAGGCATGCGCCACCAAGCCCGGCTAATTTTTGTATTTTTAGTAGAGACATAACCTGCTCACCTTGGCCTCCCAATATGCTGGGATTATGGGCGTTTGAGCCACCGTGCCTGGCCTTTTTTTTTTTTTTTTTTAAATAGAGATGAGGTCTCACTGTGTTGCCAAGGCTGGTCTCAAACTCCTGGGCTCAAGCGATCTTCCCACTTCAGCCTCCCAAAGTGCTGGGATTACAGGCATGAGCCACCATGCCTGGCATGGATCCTAATTTAAGCACTTACTATATGTTAACTTTTAAATTAGCTCAGGTACTTGCACACAGGTTCCATCTAATTTTCATCTGTTTTGGGGCGGCGGCAGAGTCTCTATTTTGCACACAAGACTAAGGGTTCAAAGGTTAGGCACCAGCTGACAAGTAGCCAATCTGAGATCTGAACCCACGGCTGCCTGGCTTCTAAGGTCCATTCCACTTCATAATAACAGCTTTGGGAAGCAGCCCCAGCCTTGGAGAGTTGAACCCAGCTCAGTCTGGCTTCCAAGGGTTCTGTCTACTACCCATATCGGCTTCTTGGAGAAGCCCCAGACTTTATTCTCGGTTACCCTATATTATCCTTTATAGAGCCTGTAAGTCCCTGGTCTCAGCTACAGACACCTGGTTACCCACTCTGCCAGCTGGGAAGGAACAGACACTATTTCTCCTTCCCTCACCCCCAGCTGAATTCAGATATTTTCCTGGGTTTATGCCTGAGAAGACGATACGGAAATACAGCCCAAGCAGCCCAGGACCTCCAGCCTTGGAGTGGGCAGGGTGGAGGGGGTGTGAGTGAGTGGTGCCATACACTTGTCTGCCCATCATGAGCTGGGAACCACGCTAAGTGCTTTACACATCTGATTGTGCCAATTCCTCCCAACCACCCAGAGGGAAACAGTTCTTATAATCCCTTCTTCGGAAACAGGTCAGAGAGGCTCAGAAAGGTCCTCTTCCAAATGGGCACAATTCAGATCTGACTCCACGGCTGGAATAGTTCACAAGGGTCAGCTAAGCCAGCAAGGGGCAACTAGTCACGAACACTTATTAGGTGCAAAGAGCAGTGCTGGGGATGAGACTTGCAGGGTATCTCCAGCAAGGGACTATTTCACATAATTGGGACCAAAGCTCCTACAATGGAGGGAATGGAGGAGGGTGTGCAAGGGGACTTATCTAGTGGGGGAGGAAGGGCTTCCCTGAAGAAGAAATGATGTCTGAGAAAGTTTGTTTTGTTTTGTTTTTTTTGAGACGGAGTCTCACTCTGTCACCCAGGCTGGAGTACAGTGAAGCGATCTCGGCTCACTGCAACCTCTGCCTCCCAGGTTCAAGCAATTCTCCTACCTCAGCCTCCGGAGTAGCTGGGAGTACAGGCGTGTGCCACCACGCAGGGTTAATTTTTTGTATTTTTAGTAGAGACGGGGTTTCACCGTATTAGCCAGAATGGTCTCAATCTCCTGACCTTGTGATCCACCTACCTCGGCCTCCCAAAGTGCTTGGATTACAGGTGCGAGCCACCGCGCCCAGCCTGGTTTTTTTTTTTTTTTTTTTTTTGAGACAGACTCTTGCTCTGTCACCCAGGCTGGAGTGCAGTGGCATGATCACAGTTCACTGCAACCTCCGCCTCCCAGGCTCAAGCAATCCTCCCACCTCAGCCTTCGAAGTAGCTGGCGCACACCACCACGCCTGGCTAACTTTTGTATATTTTGTAGAGACAGGGTTTCAGGCTGGTTTTGAACTCCTGGGCTCAAGCAATCCATCTGCCTCGGCCTCCCAAAGTGTTAGTATTACAGGCATGAGCCACTGCATCTGGCCGAGAAAGTTATTCGGGAGCCCAATACTACCAGTACTAGAGTGAAGCCCTTGGAACTTTCTGAAGATACACACATCTGAAGGCAATGAGCTCCTGAAAGGGAGTGTGTGGTGAAGTGACAGGGAGTTAAGGGAGCTGCACGCCTGGGTCTTCTCTTGGACCTCGGGCACCTGACTCAAAGATCAGCACCCTGCTGTCTTCTAAGGATGCCACCACTCAAAGCAGAAACCGTCCGAAGGTCCTCTTTTCTCGAGAGAGGAATACACAGAAATCTCCCAGATAGGCCAGGTGCGGTGGCTCATGCCGGTAATCTCAGCACTTTGGGAGGCCAAGGCAGGTGGATCACCTGAGGTTAGGAGTTCAAGATCAGCCTGGCCAACATGCTGAAACTCTGTTTCTACTGAAAATACAAAAATTAGCTGGGCATGGTGGCGGGTGCCTGTAATCCCAACTACTAGGGAGGCTGAGGCAGGAGAATTGCTTGAACCTGGGAGATGGAGGTTGCAGTGAGCTGAGATCGTGCCACTGCACTCCAGCCTGGGCAACAGAGCAAGACTCCATCTCAAAAAAAAAAAAAAAAAAAGATAAGAAAAAGAAACCTCCCAGATAGCAGCAGTTTTCTCCACTGAGGAAACATGGCTTCTGTGTAAAGATCCCTCCCTCAAAGCCTTTTCTCCCTAGACCAGGCACTGACCCAGAGAGGGGTGTACAGTGTCTGATCTCAGGAACAGGCTCAGGCACCCCCTTGTGAGACACTCTGGAGAAAGCTGTGCGTGCCATGGCCACGTTCTGATAATAGCAAGCAAGTATCACGCAGTTACTATGTTCCAGTCACAGTGCTTCAGCTTTTGCTTGTATTCTGAGTTAATTCTCCCAACAATCCCTTAGAGATACTGTAAAATCCCCATGGGAAGAAACCACAGATCAGAGAAGTGATTACTGGCTAAGCCACACACTGCAAGTTAGCAGGAGGGCTGGGACATGAACCCAGCACTCTTGCTCTCTAGTGTTCAGGTGTTCTCAATAGTAACATTATTTCCATCTTTCCAAAGAAGTCACACAGCTGAGAAGCTGCAGGAGAAGAGCCATTCCTCCACATGGCGCTCCTAAATCACGGCAGAGAAGGGTAAGCAAGCTAACAAAAACCAGGGCACAAACTATACACCGACGGAGGTAGGATCCCCAGAAACCACGTTACTAAGAGAAAAGCAGGGATTTTCCTGGGGTCATAGCACTCCACCAAATCCCAGGTCCAGAATACAACTTCCACCACACTCTAGGCCTGTAAACTAAAGCAACTAGAAGCTCCTAGTGCCGTGCAATCTCCGAAATCATAAGGCCAAAGAACAAGATATTCAGTGGGGTTAATGAAGAAAGCCTCTTTCTGAGCCCATCGTGGGCCTCAATGTTCTTCCTGTAAAATGGGGCTATAGCGTAGCTTGTATTGCTGGTTTAGTCCTGAGGACTTAGGTTAAAGGCGAAAAAAACTCAGAGCCTGGTATCTAGTAGGTGCATAATAAATGATAAGATGTCCATTATCGCTGCTGCTGGTAGTGGTGGGGGAGTGCGAACTGTCAGTCTGGTTAGGTCCAGCCTAATTCCCGGTCTCCCTGCAAAGCCCCTGCGGGCTATGCCGGGATGCGAATGCGGGGGGGTGGAGGGGAGCGGCGCGAAGGGAGGGTGGGGGAGGAATTTCTGGAAAACAAACTTCTGGGCCTTCAGACCACTTACTTAGCAGGGCGCAGCCTAACCCGCGCTTGGCTTCGGAAGCCGCGACCAGGGTTGTCCCCTCTCCCCCCAGCTTTGGCTGCCGCCGCCGCGTACCGGGCGGCCCGCCAAGCCCCCAGAGCCCCTGCGCTCTCCCTCCAAAGCAGGAGTGCGGTGGACATAGGATGAGGTCGACTTTCACTGGCCAGTCCCAGGTGCCTACGCCCCGCGCTGGGGGACAGGAGCCGGGAGGCACCCCAGGAAGGGTCCTCTGCCCGCCGGCCCCCGCGAAGAGGAAGGGACTCCGCGGAAGGGGGCGGGGAGGAGGAGTGGTCTGGCCGCTCCGGCCGGGATTTGCCTGGACTTGAAGACGCTCAGGAGCCCAAAGCTCGGAGAGCCTCCAGAAGGCTTCTCCCTCATTGGCCAGGAGTCCGAGGGAGCCGAGGAAGGATCCGCGGCCCTGGGGTGGGGCGGTGAGGGAGAGGGGGAGAGGGAGGGAGGAGGGGGAGAGGGAGGGGGAGAAGGAGGGAGAGGGGAGACAGAGTGGGGGAGGGGTGCCGAGGGCCGCGGCTGCCAGTTGATGCAACCCGGGTCCCGGGTTACGCGCTCGGCTTTCCCTCCCCGAGCCCAGGACACACCGACTCAGCTCCGGACAGCCTGAGGCTCAGACGCGGTTCGGGGTTCCAGGGAAGAGGGGCGTCGCGCGGCCGCCGCTTACCTCTCCGGGGCCCGAGTCGCCGACGCCGCCCGGGGCGAACCGCAGGTAGTCCTTGAGCTCTGCGCGGCACTCGGAGTCCGCCACGATCATGGTGCGCGCCAGGACCCGGTCGCGGCTCGCCGACGACCCGTGCACCCGAGTGGGTTTCGGAGGGACGCCCGAATGAAGCCGGGACTGGGCGCCGCCGGGGAGCTTCTAGAACCCCGGGGCGTCTCTCGGGGCTCCAGAACGCTCCGGAATCCGAGAACGGCCGCTTTGGTGCTGGACTCTTCCCCCAGTCGGGCTTCGGGAACGGCGAACGGCCTCGGGGGCCTGGGAAGGGCCGCAGCGCAGGGGTTTTCACGGCCTCGGAAGTCCGCAGGGGCCAGGGCTGCTCCCGGACCCAGCGCTCCTCAGCATCCCCGCCGCGGAACTGCCAGCGCTCGCCGGGCTCTGACACCAGCAGTTCAGCCCGCTGCGGTCCCCGGGGGAGGGCGGGGACACAAAAGCCCGGCGGTCCAGCCAATCAGAGGTCTGTTTCCCCGGGGAGGCGGGGGAAACTCCGCCCCCTGGAGTCACGGGCTCCGCCAATCAGCACCGGGGAGCGCCCGGAATTCTGGGAGTTGTAGTCCGCCTCGGGTGAATGCTGCAAACTTTTGCAAGACGGTTTAGTCAGATCCCTGGCAACACCAGACGGCAGTGACAGCCCTAAGAGTCATTAGGGTTGCGTGATGAAAAGGGACTTCACTGGGCTAGGCCAAACAGCCGAGTGTGAAATCTCCTAAATGAATTCTTCATCTTTTCAGTTCCTGGAGGGACTGGCTAGGGTTAAGAGAGGTTTGGCTCGCGTCCTATCCGGTGCTGCTAATTATAGAACTGAACCCCAGATATTTAGAGGTCAGAGGGCACAACCCTGCTCCCCCTGGCCTCGGGGAAGCTCCAAAGATGCGAGACACAGGGAATTCACCTTATTTGTGGAGCCTCAGGAAAAGCCTTCATTCCTTGAAATGTCATTGGTAACTTCGTGTGGAACCTCAATCCCTATTGCTGGAAGTTTTCTTCCTTCTGCTACCCGTCCTGGCTTCCACCCCTCCCACCCTCCTCGAAACTTTGTAACAAGGTGTTCTGCTGGATCTTTGCTCACCTCTCCCTCTGGCCTTCTCTGACTCCTCTTTCACCACCCACTTCCTAAAACGTGGGTGCTTCCCCAGTTTGTTTTTGCCCCTCTTCCCTCCAGACACTCTCCCTGATCTCATTCACTTCCTGGCCTTCAACTCGCCTCTTGCCAGAAAGTTGCCTCTACCAACACCTCAGCACCTCCAAGCTAAATTCATTTTCTATTCATTTCAAACGGAGCCTCTTCCTTCACAGTTTTCCTTCAGAGCTCCTTTTTTTGTTTCCATTTTAAAGTTATTGTTTATTCTAGACAGGGAATCCTGCCAGGGGTGAGGGTGGATAAGACCCCCAAGTCCCCCTCTGAGACTTCTAAGTCTAAGCTTACAATTCCAAAGATGAAACCGACTTGGTTTCCTGCCTCCAGATTCTTGGGAAAAAGAGATTAATCTCACCCTCCCCTGAGCTCCCAAGGCACTTGAGCTGGATCTCTTTTCACATGTATCACATTCTACCTAGTTTTTTTTGTTTTTTGTTTTTTTGTTTTCTGTTTTTTTGTTTTTGTTTTTTGTTTTTTAGTAAATAGAGACAGGGTCTCAATATGTTGCCCAGGCTGGTCTCAAACTCCTGAGCTCAAGCGATTCTCTCACCTCAGCCTCCCAAAGTGCTAGGATTATAGGCATGAGCCACCATGTCCAGCCACATTCTGCCTTGTATTGTAATTTTCTATGTACATGTTTTATCTGACCCTTTTTTCTTTTTATTAGTATTGTTTTTTAGAGATGGGGTCTAGCTCTGTCACCCAGACTGGAGTACAGTGGCATGATCATAGCACGCTGCAGCTTCAAATTCCTGGGCTCAAGCGATATTCCCTCCTCAGCCCCCCAAATCAATCACTGGGGTTACAGGTGTGCACCACTGAGTCTGGCTTATCTGATCTTTTTAATTGTAAACTCCTTGAGGGCAGGGTCAACATCTTTTTTTTTTTTTTTTTTTTTTTTTTAAACAGAGTCGCACTCTGTCTCCCAGGCTGGAGTGCAGTGGCCCGATCTTGGCTCACTGCAACCTCTGCCTCCCAGGTTCAAGCAATTCTCCTGCCTCAGCCTCCTGAGTAGCTGGGATTACAGGCAAGTGCCACCACACCCGGCTAATTTTTGTATTTTTAGTGGAGACAGGGTTTCACCATGTTGATCAGGCTGGTCTCGAACTCCTGACCTTGTGCTCTGCCCGCCTCAGCCTCCCAAAGTGCTGGCATTATAGGCATGAGCCACCGCGCCTGGCTGGCAGGGTCTACATCTTGACATCCATCTCCTGCTCTATGTCACCTAGCAAAATGTCCTGACAATCATATGCCCTTGGTCACGGAATCTTCCTTTGCATCAACTTCCTCTCTAAACTACCCTGTGTCAGCTTCAGCTTTCATTTAAAAAATTTACTATGTGGCCAGGCGTGGTGGCTCACGCCTGTAATCCCAGCACTTTGGGAGGCCGAGGTGGGCGGATCACGAGGTCAGATCAAGACCATCCTGGCTAACATGGTGAAACCCCGTCTCTACTAAAAATACAAAAAATTAGCCAGGCGTGGTGGCGGGTGCCTGTAGTCCCAGCTACTTGGGAGGCTGAGGCAGGAGAATGGCGTGAACCCAGGAGGCAGAGCTTGCAGTGAGCCGAGATCGTGCCACTGCACTCTAGCCTGGGTGACAGAGTGAGATTCTGTCTCAAAAAAAAAAAAAAATTTACTATGTAATGTCAAAGTCCAGATCAAAAGGCTTCACTGGTATTTCATCAGCTACAGAATTAAGATCAAACTCCTTGGGTGGGCATGGTGGCTCACGCCTGTGATCCCAGCACTTTGGGAGGCAAAGGCAGGCAGATCACCTGAGGTCAGGAGTTCAAGATCATCCTGGCCAACATCGTGAAACCCCATCTCTACTAAATATACAAAAATTAGCCAAGCGTGGTGGTGCACGCCTGTAGTCCCAACTACTCGAAAAGCTGAGGCAGGAGAATCGCTTGAACCCGGGAGGCAGAGGTTGCAGTGAGCTGAGATCGTGCCACTGCACGATCTGGGTGTCAGAGCGAAACCCTGTCTCAAAAAAAAAAAAAAAAAAAATCAAACTCCTATCTTAACATTCAAGGTTTGCCAAGATGCACCTAATTTACCCTCCCATTCTTACCACCTGCAACATCCATGTTTCTTGTTTGGCCTTCAAATCTTTCTTTCAGTACTCTTCTTGCAAATCTCTACCCATTGAAATAGTATCCATCATTCAATGCCTTCATTCCTGTTTGTGGCCTGAAGCAAGACTTTAAATGACACCTCCTCCAAAAAGCTCAGCTGAAAGTAATCTCACCCAGTCCTCAACATCTTCAACACATTCTTTTTATCTCTTTCTACCACTGATCTCCAAACTTGGTGTATGCTTGATATCATGTGTATATATCTCACCACTTCCCTCCAACTGATGATAAAAATCTCTCATTGACCACGTGTACAAAGTGAGAAAACTTGAGCTCAGAAAGGTAAAAT
Source organism: Homo sapiens (assembly GCF_000001405.40). Lineage (NCBI taxonomy): Eukaryota > Metazoa > Chordata > Mammalia > Primates > Hominidae > Homo > Homo sapiens. The sequence goes on along the minus strand of NW_018654706.1, from coordinate 49,960 downwards.
TGGCCAGGCTTGGTGGCTAACATCTGTAATCCCAGCATCTGGGGAGGCCAAAAGGGAGGATCCCTTGAGCCCAAGAGTTCGAGACCAGCCTGGTCAACATGGAGAAACCCTGTATTCACAAAAACTACAAAAATCAGCAGGGTGTGGTGGCATGTACCTATAATCTCATGTACTTGGGAGGCTGGCCAACATGGTAAAATCCCATCTCTACCAAAAACATAAAAATTAGCCGGGTGTGGTGCGAGAGCCTGTAATCCCAGCTACTCGGCAGGCTGAGGCAAGGGAATAGCTTGAACCTGGGAGATGGAGGTTGCAGATTGTGCCACTGAATCAAAAATAAAAATAAAAATAAAAACAAAAATTGCTTATCAGGGTCACACAGTATCTTCTTTTGACTGCACAAGGCTGTGTTAGAGCACTTTTTTTTTGTTTGTTTGTTTTTTGTGAGACGAAGTGTCCTTCTTGTTGCCCAGGTTGGAGTGCAATGGTGTGATTTCGGCTCACGGCAACCTCCGTCTCCTAGGTGCAAGCAATTCTCCTGCCTCTGCCTCCCGAGTAGCACCACCACGCCCGGCTAATTTTTTATTTTTAGTAGAGATGGGGTTTCTCCATGTTTGTTAGGCTGGTCTTGGACTCCCGACCTCAGGTGATCCACCAGCCTCAGCCTCCCAAAGTGCTGGGATTATAGGTGTGAGCCACGGTGCCCAGCCGGCTGTGCCAATTTCTTAAAATAAGACAATAATAAAGTTGGCCACAAGGATCCACTCTTCCTTCCATGAAAGATTTCTCTGTAGCATGTGATACTGTTTGGTAACATGTTACCTACAGCAGAACTTCTTTCAAAATTGGAGTCAATCTTCTCAAACCCTGCTGCTGCTTTGTCAACTAAGCTTATGTAATATTCTAAATCCTTTGTTGTCATTTCAACAATGATCATAGCATCTTCACAGGAGTAGATTCCATCTCAAGAAACCACTTTCTTTGCTCAGCCATAAGAAGCAACTCCTTAAAGAAACAAAAAAAGAAAAGTCAGCCTGGGCCAACATGGGGAAACCCCGTCTCTACTAAAAATACAAAAATTGGCCAGGCGCAGTGGCTCACGCCTGTAATCCCAGCTCTTTGGGAGGCTGAGGTGGATGGATCACGAGGACAGAAGTTCAAGACCAGCCTGGCCAAGATGGTGAAACCCCATCTCTACCTAAAATGCAAAAAATTAGCCAGGCATGGTGGTGGGTGCCTGTAATCCCAGCTACTTGGGAGGTTGAGGCAGGAGAATCGCTTGAACCCAAGAGGTGGACGTTGCAGTGAGCTGAGATTGCGCTACTGCACTCCAGCCTGGGAAACAAGAGCGAAACTCCATCTCAAACAAAACAAAACAAAACAAAAGAATAAAGAAAAAAAGAATAAAAAGAAGAAGCAACTCCTCATCCATTCGAGTTTTATCCTGAGATTGCAACAATTCAGTCACATATTCAGGCTTTATTTCTAATTCTACTTCTCTTGTTATTTCTTTTTTTCTTTTTGAAGACAGAGTCTTGCTCTGACGCCCAGGCTGGAGTGCAGTGGTGAGATCTCGGCTCACTGCAACCCCTGCCTCCCGGGTACAAGTGATTCTCCTGCCTTAGCCTCCCAAGTAGCTGGGATTACAGGGATGTGCCACCATGCCTGGCTAATTTTTATATTTTTAGTAGAGATGGGGTTTCGCTATGTTGGACAGGCTGTTCTCTTGCTATTTCGAACACACCTACAGTTACTTCCTACATTGAAGTCTTGAACCACCTCAAAGTCATCCATGAGAGTGAAATGAGCTTCTTTCAAACTCCTGTTTATGTTGATTTTTTTGCCTCCTTCTATGGATCACATTTTTTGTTTGTTTTTTGAGGCGGAGTCTCACTCTGTTGCCCAAGCTGGAGTGTAATGGCATGATCTTGGCTCACTGTAGCCTCTGCCTCCCAGGTTCAAGCGATTCTCCTGCCTCAGCCCCCCATGTAGCTGGGATTATAGGTGCGCACCACCACGCCTGGCTAATTTTTGTATTTTTAGTAGAGACGGGGTTTCGCCATGTTGGCCAGGCTGGTCTTGAACTCCTGACCTCAAGTGATCCACTGCATCGGCCTCCCAAAGTGCTGGGATTACAGGCATGAGCCACCACTCCCGGCCTGTTCCATTTATAGAGCACAGGTAGAGTAAATTTAGCATAATTCTTAAAGGCCCTAGGATTTTCAGAATAGTCAATGAGCACTGGCTTAAACTTATAGTCACCAGCTGCATTAGCCCCTAACAAGAGAGTCAACCTGTGCTTTGAAACTTGGAAACCAGGTATTGGCTTCTGTCTCTTTTTTTTTTTTTTTGAGATGGAGTTTCCCTCTGTCACCCAGGCTGGAGTGCAGTGGCACAATCTCGGCTCACTGCAACCTCCACCTCCTGGGTTCAAGTGATTCTCCTGCCTCACCCTCCCTAGTAGATGGGACTACAGGCACATGCCACACGCTCAGCTAATTTTTTGTATTTTTAGTAGAGATGGGGTTTCACTATGTTGGCCAGGATGGTCTCAATCTCTTGACCTCGTGATCTGCCCGCCTCAGCCTCCCAAAGTCCTGGGATTACAGGCATGAGCCACTGCTCCCAACCTGGCTTCTCTTTAGCTATGAAAGTCTTAGATGGCATCTTCTTCCATTACAAGGCTGTTTGTCTACATGGAAAAATCTGTTGTTTAGTGTATCTACCTTCATCAGTTATCTTAGCTAGATCTTCTGGATAACTCACTGCAGCAGCTTCTCCATCAGCATGGGCTGCTTCACCTTGTATTTTTCTGTTATTGAGAAGGCTTCTTTCTTTCAACCTCATGAAGCAAACTATGCTAGGTTTAAGCTTTTCTACAGCAGCTTCCTCACGTCTCTCAGCTTTCCTAGAATTGAAGAGAGTTAGGGCCTTGCTCTGGATTAGGTTTTGGATTAAGGGAATATTGTGGACGGTTTGATCTTCTATCAAAGTCTGAGACCACTCAAACTTTCTTCCTATCAGCAATAAGGCTGTTTGCTTTCTTATCATTCATGTATTTATTGGAGTAGCATTTAAAATTTTTCTTTAAGAATGTTTCGGCCGGGCGCAGTGGCTCACGCCTGTAATCCCAGCACTTTGGGAGGCCGAGGCGGGTGGATCATGAGGTCAGGAGATCGAGACCATCCTGGCTAACAAGGTGAAACCCCGTCTCTACTAAAAATACAAAAAATTAGCCGGGCGCGGTGGCGGGCGCCTGTAGTCCCAGCTACTCGGGAGGCTGAGGCAGGAGAATGGCGTGAACCCGGGAAGTGGAGCTTGCAGTGAGCCGAGATTGCGCCACTGCAGTCCGCAGTCCGGCCTGGGCGACAGAGCGAGACTCCGTCTCAAAAAAAAAAAAAAAAAAAAGAATGTTTCCTGGCCGGGCGTGGTGGCTCACACCTGTAATCCTAGCACTTTGGGAGGCCGAGGTGGGCGGATCACAAGGTCAGGAGTTCGAGACCAGCCTGGCCAATATGGTGACACCCCGTCTCTCCTAAAAATACAAAAATTAGCCAGGCATGGTGGTGGACACCTGTAGTCCCAGCTACTCGGGAGGCTGAGGCAGGAGAATCGCTTGAACCTGGGAGGTGGAGGTTGTAGTGAGCCGAGATCAGGCCACTGCACTCCAGCCTGGGAGACAGAGCAAGACTGTCTCAAAAAAAAAAAAAAAGAATGTTTCCTTTGCATTCACAACTTGGCTATTTGGCTCAAGAGACCTAGCTTTTGGCCTATCTTGGCTTTTGGCACATGTTCTTCACTAAGCTTAATGATTTCTAGCTTTTGATTTAAAATGAAAGACATGCAGCTGGGCTTAGCGGCTCATGCCTACAATCCCAGCACTTTGGGGGGCCATGGCAAGAGAACCGCTTGAGCCCAGGAGTTTGAGACCAGCCTGGGCAACATAGCGAGACTCTGTCTCTACAAAAAATAAGAAAATTGGCTGGGCGCAGTGGCTCACGCTTGTAATCCCAGCACTTTGGGAGGCTGAGGCGGGTGGATCATGAAGACAGGAGTTCAAGACCAGCCTGGCCAAGAGACCAGCCTGGCCAATATGATGAAACCCCGTCTCTACTGAAAATACAAAAATTAGCTCGGCGTGGTGGTGGGCACCTGTAATCCCCGCTACTCAGGGAGGCTGAGGCAGGAGAATTGCTTGAACCCGGGAGGCAGAGGTTGCAGTGAGCCAAAGATCGCGCCATCGCACTCCACCCTGGGGGACAGAGTGAGACTCCAACTCAAAAAAAAAAAAAATAGAAAATTAGCTGGGCTTGGTGGTGCATGCCTGTAATCCCAGCTACTTGGAAAGCTGAGGCAGGAGGATTGCTTGAGCAAGGCACTCCAGCCTGAGTGACACAGCGAAACTCTGTCTAAAATAAATAAATAAATAAATAAAGTGGGTCGGGCTTGATTGATTGCTTGAGCAATGCATTCCAGTCTGGGCGACAGAGCAAGACTCTGTCTCAAAAAAACAAAAAAACAAAAAAATGCATTATCTACAAAGCACAGTAAAGTGCAGCACAATAAAACAAGATATGCCGGCCGGGCACGGTGGCTCACGCCTGTAATCCCGGGACTTTGTGAGGCCGGCCGAGACGGGTGGTTCACGAGGTCGAGATCAAGACCATCCTGGCCAACATGGTGAACCCCGTCTCTACTAAAAATACAAAAAAAAAAATTAGCTGGGCGTGGTGGCGTATCCCTGTAATCCCAGCTACTCAGAAGGCTGAGGCAGGAGAATCCCTTGAACCAGGGAGTCTGAGGTTGCAGTGAGCCAAGATTGCGCCACTGCACTCCAGCCTGGCGACAGAGCAAGACTCCGTCTCAAAACAAAAAGACAAAAAAACAAGATATGCCTGTAGTGAGTCCTTAGTGAATATTTTTGAATGAATGTGTATGAGTTACTCTCCTCTGTTGAATAACTCCTTAGAATCTTTAAGGCAGTCACTAAATCATTCCCAAAGCTTCATTTACATAGTAACTTTGTGAGAAGAAAAAGCAAAAAATTCTTAGAATTTTTTTTTTCTTTTTTGAGACAGTCTCCCTCTACTCACTCTGTCACCCAGGCTGGAGTGCAGTGATGTGATTATAGCTGACTGTAACCTCAAACTCTTGGGCTCAAACTATCCTCCCAAGTAGCTAGGACTACAGGTGTGCACTATGCTGTCCGGCCAATTTCTTTTTATTTTTTGCAGAGACGGGTCTCAGTATGTTAACCAGGCTGGTCTCAAATTCCCAGTCTCAACTTCCTAAAGTGCTGGGATTACAGGTGTGAGCCACTGAACCTGACCCAAAATTCTTTTTTTTTTTTTTTTGAGACAGAGTCTTGCTCTGTCGCCCAGGCTGGAGTGCAGTGGCGCAATCTTGGCTCACTGTAACCACTGCTTCCTGGATTCAAGCAATTCTCCTATCTCAGCCTCCTGAGTAGCTGGGACTACAGGCACATGCCACCACGCCCAGCTGATTTTTGTATTTTTAGTGGAGACGGGGTTTCACCATGTTGGCCAGGCTGGTCTTGAACTCCTGACCTCAGGTAATCCACTCGCCTCAGCCTCCCAAAGTGCTGGGATTACAGGTGTGAGCCACCGCGCCGGCCTTTTTTTTTTTTTTTTTTTAACACAGGGTCTCAGTCTGTCTCCCAGGCTGGAGTACAGTAGCACAATCACTGTTTACTGCAGCCTCAACCTCCCAGGCTCAGGTGATTCTCCCACCTCAGCCTCCCAAGCAGCTGGGACTATAGGTGCACACCACCACACCTGGCTAATTTTTGTATTTTTTGTAGAGACGAGGTGGGGGGTGGGGGGTGGGGCGGTTCACCACGTTGCCCAGGCTGTTATTGAACTCCTGAGCTCAAGCAATCTGCCCATCTCGGCCTCCCAAAGTGCTGGGATTACAGGTGTGAGCCACCACGCCCAGCCTTGATATTATCTTTTGTGACCTGGTCTCCAAAAAAGAAAAGCCAGGAAGAAGCACAGACATTAAGAGTTACTGAGCTCCAGCAAGAATTCAGGATACATCACTGTCTCAGGTAACTCTCACCACAACGTTGTGAAACAGGCTATTGTGTCTCCATTTGACTGATGAGAAAACTGAGACTCAAGAGGTAACACGTCTGGACCAAGGTCAGATAGGTTAGTAATATGCTGAGTAAGGATTCCAACCCAGGCAGGAATGACTCCTATGCAGAAACTCCACCACTCCATTGATGAGACAAACACATGAATATGTAAGAAGCCGGCTGGCAAAAGGAACTGATGCTTAAAGCAGATATATTAATTGGAAGTGAGAAACATAACTGTCAAGCGACCTGTAATTGAGAGGCCAGGGCATTCCTCTTTGTAGGAGAGCCTTTACTGAAAGGCAAATTTATCATCTGAAGGTGGCTAAGGCAGCTGGAATCTGAGCAAGTGAAAGGACGAATTATTGAACTGCTCTACTCAGCAACTATCTGCTGGTCAGGGCTCCAGTTCCTTCCTTCCTTTTTTCATTCAATAAATATTTATTTACCATCTTGTGTGTACCAGGCACTGTGCCTGGCTCTGGGAAATCCAGTGGTGAAGCTAGCAGCCTAGCAGGGCATGGCAGGGTGCCACTGGCTGGGCACATTCCTCCCCTCCCCACTGCCTTGTATTTTTGGTTGGGTAAAGATCTCCTTCTTCTGTTGCCACACTCTCAACTCTTGCATCAGCTATGTTGAGGCCACTGATTGGCCAGCTATTTATATTCCTCAATCACCTTCCAGTCCCAAAGATACACCTACCTAGACTGGATTTGAAATGTTTTTGAGATGTCTTCAGCCTTAGATCCATTTCAGATTATGACCCTAATATGATTGTCATCTGTTCTGTATTCATTCTTCCTGAATTAGTTTTCTAGTCTCAAATTCTGAGATCACTTTACTATAATGACCTTGTAATGGGACCATTCGGGGGGCTGTGATTTATCACCCCAGATGTCATTTTCTGAGCTCTTCTTATTGTTTCCCCCCTCCCCACCCACTAATCTCAGATACAATTCCTGCCCAGGGGGAACTTTCAGGAAAGAAGTTCCACTCCAATTGGTTTGATAAAGCCAAAGAAGACCCATCCTTCAAGGCTTAGTCACACATTAATTCAATTACTCATGAAGCAGGCATTGTGCTAGGTGGGGAGGGAGGTCCTTCCTGCACAGAGCTGACAGGTGCCGAGCTGTCAAGCTACACAACCAAAATTGTCCTTTGGAGTTGTGCATTAGCAGGCAGTACAACCACAGACTCCCAGAAACAAAGCCAACTATCTCCTAAGAGCACTTCCCAGGAGTCAGGCAATTCGGGTGCCAGCTTTTAGCCAAGTAACCCAAACTGAATTTTTTTTTTCCAGCTCTTTGAATCTGTTTCCCTATCTGTAAAACAAAGAAATAGAAATTAGCTCTAAACTTGCAGAGTCATTATGGAGAGAACTGGTGCCATAAAGAACTGGCAGTGTATATAATTCGTCTTCTCGATTGCATACTGAGGACAGAAATCTTCAGGTTTGGAAACGTTTACCCTTCTTAAATGCAAAAACTAACGCACTGGGTGCTTTTGGGCAAATTGCTTGGTTGATTTAGTTTAGTTTTGTCGGCTGAGTGGTTCCTCAACGCCCCCTGCAGGCCAGATCCTGCTATAGCTAAGTCAGAATGGAGTAGGAAAGGGCTGGCCCAAACCGTTTTGAGTTTATAGGATTGTTAGGGTCCATGTCACCGCCTGAAGGTCTTGAAAAGAGGCCAGGCAACAGCTAAGTAAAGGTCTGTGGTTGCTGAAGATTCCCCCTGCTGCCAGCAAGGACCAGAGTCCTAAAATACTTCACAGCCCGAATGCACTTTCCATTGTTTTGGCTTACTACCTCTCTTACAAGGCAGGAAGCCTCAGGTCGAGAGAGAGGAATTTGCCCAAGGTTCCCTAGGAAGTTGGCCACAGAGTGGAGACTAGAATCTCGAGGTCCAGGGCTACCTACACCTTAATAGGCTGCCCCAGGAGAGAAGCCTCACATTTTCAGAAAGAACAACTTCTCCCTTTCCTCTGGTCTCCCTTCCTTCCCCAACCCTCCACTCCTAGAGGCTCTATACATCCTATTCTCAGAGAACCACCCTGAGGCTTGTCCCTGGAGCAACGCCTCTGGCCTCCCACCATCCTGTCCTACCTTTCCCTATCCCCAGCGGAATTCTGTACCCCGACCCCCTCCCTAAAAAGGCCACACTTGGAATCAGGATATCGGAGTTGAAGGTTCCAGTTCCAACCCTTTCTTTGTGAACCTCAGCAAAACACTTCACTTCTCTGAACCCGTTTCCTGTTTTTTTGTTTTTGTTTTTCTTTTATTACGTTTTTGTTTTTCTGAGACAGGTCTCGTTCTGTTGCCCAGGCTGGAGTGCAGTGGCGCGATCATAGCTCACTTAAGTTTGGAGCTCCTGGGTCCTCTCACCTCAGCCTTCCGAGTAGCTGGGTCTACAGGACTGCATGTTAAATGTTAAATGGGGCAATAGTTTACCTCCACCGTTCTATTGTGAGAATGAGAGCTTATGCATGGAAACCCCTTAACAAGGCTTGATGCAGATGAAGTGCTCAATAAACTGTAGATTATCTATATTTTTACTGTTATTTTGAAGGATCTGGCTCAGTGACTGGCTGATAGTGGTGGGTGTTCAAGAAAGGTGCCTACAACCATTAATATTAAAAGTTTGGCGCACATAGCCTGGCATTTAGTTGCAGTTTAATAAACTGTGGCTAGTATTGTTTTTTTGACCCCAGGACGCCCAGTGCGGTTTCAGCGTTAACAACTCCTTAGCGAAAATTGCAGAACAGACTTTTCGCTCAGCAACAGGCTCCTCTTACGTAAACCGCACCGGCCAATGAGCAGGAAGATGGGCGGGGTTTCTTGGCAGCCAATAGTAGCCCGCAGCGGCGCGCAGGATAGGCCCAGGCTGGTTTCCAGGCTGCGTACGGAAACGAATCCCCGGGGCTCTTTGACTGGGGGCGAGTCTTCGAAGTCGCCAGGCTCTGCCTATCAACCGGGTCCTGATTGGTGCAGGCTGTGGCGGTCCGCCCCTGACTCCGTCTAGCCCCGCTCCGCGAGAAGAGGCTGAACTGCCCCATCTGCTTCTAATTTCTTTCTTTCTTTCTTTCTTTCTTTTTTTCCCCTCTTTTCCTTTTCTTCTTTTAAATATACGTTTGGAAATTTGCCGGGCGTGGTGGCGGGCGCCTGTAATCCCAGCTACTCGGGAGGCTGAGGCAGGAGAATCGCTTGAATCCGGGAGACGGAGGTTGCAGTGAGCCGAGAACGCGCCACTACACTCCAGCCTGGACGACGAGAGTGATACTCCGTCTCAGTCAATCAATCAATCAATCAATCGTTTGATTTTCGTTTTATGCTTTTACTTCCAAATTTATATTTATTGCAAAAAATGTGGAATATAACAAAGTGTAAAGGTGAAACTGAAATAACCCGAAATTATATTTCCCCCTCTGTGGTTTTTTTTTTTCCGTCTCTGTGTTTTTCAATGTTTTTCAGGCCTTCTGTCTTGAGCTCGTATTACTGCTGTTCACTGATGTATTGTAAAAGCGTAAAACCGGACGTGACCCAAATGTCTATCAAAGGAGACTGATGAGAGAAATAAACGGATTTGTTCACACAACGGCTTCTACAGCAAAGAAACAGAAGGTAGCTCCAAGTGCTCTGAAATGGAAAGGTATGCAGGATTTCCTGTTAGGTTAAAACAGAACGAAGCAAAAACCGAGGTTGCGCAATGATACATATAGAACAGTCTCATAGTTGTATACATAGTTACACAGAGGAAACAAAGATCTGGAAAGATGTGTAGTTTGCACCTGTTACCATTGGTTAGCTCTGGGGTGGACGGAGAAGGGAGAAGTTTTAAGATTCTTTATATAATACACTTATTTAATATCTATCTATGTGCTAAGTTGTATTACATTTGTTGTTTTTTAAAGAGATCCTTTTAAACAGAGAAGGGAGAACTCCCTCAAATCCCAATTGCACTACAAAGAGAAACCAACATGTTGGTTATTTTTATAGCATATAAGTTTATATACCGTATTAATAATGTATAGCTATATAGCCTGCTTTTTCCACTTAGCACATTTCATAATTTTTGTAATATTAAATATTCCTTAAATATAATTGTTAATGGTTGCAGACTATTCATGTATGCTATAATTTATTAATCCTTATTGAGAACATTTAGGGTTTTCTTCCCAATTTTTCACATATTTCAAGATGAGATAAAACTCTTAAATAATTATATTCCTGATTAATTAAATTCCTAGAAAAATTCGTGAGTTGAAGACTATGAACAAATAAATTTAAGGCTTTTTTTTTTTTAAGAGAGGGAGTATTGCTGTGTTGCCCAGGTTGGTCTCAAACTCCTGGGCTCACATGATCCTCCTGCTTCAGCCTCTGGGGTAGCTGGGACTACAGGCCACTGCACCAGACTTTAACACTCTTGGGCCAGGCACGGTGGCTCATGCCTGTAATCCCAGCACTTTGGGAGGCTGAGGTGGGCGGATCACCTGAGGTCAGGAGTTTGAAACCAGCCTGACCAACATGGGGAAACCCCGTCTCTACTAAAAGTACAAAATTAGCCGGACGTGGTGGCACATGCCTGTAATCCCAGCTACTCGGGAGGCTGAGGCAGGAGAATCGCTTGAACCCGGGAGGCAGAGGTTGCGGTGAGCCGAGATCGCGCCATTGCACTCCAGCCTGGGCAATAAGAGCAAAACTCCATCTCAAAACAAAACAAAACAAAACAAAAAACCCAAAAAACAAAAGACTCTTAATGCTAATTGTAAAACTTTTTTTTTTTTTTTGAGATGGAGTCTCCCTCTGTCGCCCAGGCTGGAGTGCAGTGGGGCTATCTCGGCTCACCACAACCTCCACCTCCCAGGTTCAAGTGATTCTCCTGCCTCAGCCTCTCGAGTAGCTGGGACTACAGGCACGTGCCACTACGCCCGGCTAATTTTTTGTATTTTTAGTAGTGACAGGGTTTCACCGTGTTAGCCAGGATGGTCTTCATCTCCTGACCTCGTGATCTGCCTGCCTCGGCCTCCCAAAGTGCTGGAATTACAGGCGTGAGCCACCACGCCTGGCCGAAACTCTTGAAAGTTTGTTTCTGTGAACATTATTGATGCCTAAGATGGGCCTGTGCTATCCTTGTGGGGGTGTCGGTGTGTGTGAGAACAGAGCTGAGTAATGGCCAAAATCTGGCTGCCAGGATCAGACAGGTGACAAGAGAGGCAAATATAAATAGCTCAGATAAGCAAAGACATCCAAAAATACTCTGACCCAGACACTTCCGGGCACAAAACTCTTTCTGTCTTGCATTGTCCTGGTTGTACTTGGACATGCGATGGGTCAGAATTTGGTTTACTTAATATATATTATTCAGTCTTCTGGGTTTGAAGAATTTACTAAGATTTTAAAATCTCCAATTTATGATTTCCCTTGGAAAACAGGAAGTTCTGGTAACACTGAGACTGCATTCGAGGGTCCCACAAACCAGACTTGGTTTCTCACTTCCCGTAACAGTAACGAATGGAAGACTTGATGATTTACATTACCTGCCTGGCCCCTGTAGCAACTTGAGTTCAAAACTGTTGGACAGGGTCATGATTCCTTAACATGGTATTCAAAGCTTCATGATTGGCTGGGTGCGGTGGCTCACAGTTGTAATCCCACCACTTTGGGAGGCCGAGATGGGTGGACCACTTGAGGTCCAGGTTCGAGACCAGCCTGGCCAACATGGTGAAACCCCGTCTCTACTAAAAATACAAAAAAATTAGCTGGGGTGGTGGCAGATGCCTGTAGTCCCAGCTATTCTGGAGGCTGAGGCAGGAGAATTGCTTGAATCTGGGAGGCGGAGGTGGAAGTGAGCTGAGATTGTGCCACTGCACTCCAGCCTGGGTGACAGGGTGAGACTCTGTCTCAAAAAAAAAAAAGGAAAAAAAAAAAAGCTCCTTGATAGTCTTGTGCTTTCCCCCTTTCATCTTTGTTTCCTTCCACTCTTGCTCACCCTTGCTCACACACACACTTCCTCAAGGTAAAAGTGTAAGGCAGGCAGAATGAGACTTAACAACTAGCATTTCTTATGTCATTATCCAGCCTTTTCTAACTAACACATTTGCTTGTTCACTCATTAACTTGAGGCATTTATTTTTCTTGATAAGACCAGGCCAAAGTCAGCCAATTGGATCAAACCAAATGGAATGGAGTGTCCAGAAGTAGAAATTTTGCTGCTACAGGGTGTGTGCAACTTCACATACAGCTCTTGCCCCTTATTTCCTGTGTCTTTCCTGCTTGCTCACTCTGCTCCAGCTATACTGGTCACTTTGTTGTTCTTTTATTTCTTATTTTAGACAGGTTCTTGCTTTGTTGCCCAGGCTGGTGTGCAGTTGTGCAATCATAGTTCACTGTAACCTCAAACTTCTGGGCTCAGGTGATACTCCTGCCTCAGCCTCTGGAGTAACTGGGACTACATCTGAATGCCATCAAATCCAGCTACTTAAAAAAATTTTTTTTTTTTAGGCCAGGCACGGTGGCTTACGCCTGTAATCCCAGCACTTTGGGAGGCCGAGGCGGGTGGATCACTTGAGGTCGGGAGTTCAAGAACAGCCTGACCAACATGAAGAAACCCCATCTTCACTAAAAATACAAAATTAGCTGGGCGTGTTGGTGTAATTCCAGCTACTTGGGAGGCTGAGGCAGGATAATCACTTGAACCTGGAAGGTGAGGTTGCGGTGAGCCGAGATTGTGCCATTGCACTCCCGCTTAGGCAACAAGACTGAAACTCCTCTCAAAAAAAAAAAGAAGAAAAATTTAAAGATTTTGAGCTGGGCGTGGTGGCTCACACCTGTCATCCCAACACCTTGGGAGACTGAGGCAGGTGTTTCCGTTGAGCTCAGGATTAGGTTTTGGCTTAAGGGAATATTGTGGATGATTTGATCTTTTATCAAAGTTTGAGATCACACAAACTTTCTTCCTGTCAGCAATAAGGCTGTTTTGGTTTCTTATCATTCGTGTAGCATTAAAAATGCTACTCCAATAAAGGCTGGAGTGCAGCGGCATGATGACTGAACTCCTGAGCTCAAGGGATCCTCCCGCCTCAGTCTCCCGAAGTACTGGCATTACAGGCGTGAGCCACTGCACCTGGCCAGCTTCAGACTTTTCTTGTGCAGCCTCCTCACCTCTCTTAGCCTTCTTAGAATTGAAGAGATTTAGGGCTTTTCTCCATATTCGGTTTTGCCTTAAGGGAATGTTGTGGCTTGCTTGATCATCTATCCAGATAACTCAAACTTTCTCCATATCAGCAATAAGGTTGTTTTGCTTTCCTATCATTTGTATGTTCACTGGAGTAGCATTTTTAATGTCCTTCAAGAACTTTTTCTTTGTATTCACAACTTGACTGGTGCAAGAGGCCTAGCTTTTGGCCTATTTCTGCTTTCTTTTTTTTTTTTTTTTTTTTTTTTTTGAGACGGAGTCTCGCTCTGTTGCCCAGGCTGGAGTGCAGTGACACAATCTTGGCTCACTGCAACCTCCACCTCCCGGGTTCAAGCGATTCTCCTGCCTCAGCCTCCCGAGTAGCTGGGACTACAGGCGCGTGCCACCATGCGTGGCTAATTTTTGTATTTTTAATAGAGACGGGGTTTCACCATGTTAGCCAGGATGGTCTCGATCTCTTGACCTCGTGATCCGTCCGCCTCAGCCTCCCTAAGTGCTGGGATTACAGGCGTGAGCCACCACGCCCAGCTGCGGAAGAGATTTTAAAGCTCTCCACATATTTCAGTGTGCCACCTGTGCTAAGAACTACAACTTTATTATTTTATTTTATTTTACTTGTTTTTGAGTTGGAGTCTGGCTCTGTCGCCCAAGCTGGAATGCAGTGGTGCAATCTCGGCTCACTGCAACCTCCGCCTCCTGGGTTCAAGTGATTCTCTTGCCTCAGTCTCCCAAGTAGCTGGACAGGTGTGCGCCACCATGCCTGACTAATTTTTGTATTTTTAGTAGAGACGGGGTTTCACCACATTGGCTAGGTTGGTCTCAAACTCCTGACCTCAGGTGATCCGCCTGCCTCGGTCTCCCAAAGTGCTGGTATTACACATGTGAGGCATTGCGCCCGGCCTGAGAACTACAACTTTAGACTTACTGTTGTGAAAATCTCAAACTAGCCTCTATTGCAAACATGTGTTTGCATCATATAGGCATGCATAGACATGCTGACGGGGTTTATGTTACAGCCAAAAAGCTAATGCCAACACCAACCGCTGGCACTTCTATATTTACTTCCAGGAGCCCTTGCCTTTACCACCCATACCCCGCTACCCATGTACCTCCCACTCCCCCAGATTGAGGAGGGAGCTAGCTAATAGGCAACTGAAGCACTGGATTGGAACTGCAACTCAAGGTTGTGGGAGCAAGAGTTCTGAAGTGAAGACCTTGATCAGCACAAACCTGATCATGTGACCTTGTGAAAGTTACTTCACAATTCCCTGCTTCGGTTACTATGGTTATAAAATTAAACTAATGGAATGGATCTATTTGCTAAAAATATGAGATTTAATGAGCAAATAATTTTAAAGTGCTCCATTAATTCTGCGATTGTTAAATAACTTCACTGCATAAAATTCTATAGAACTCTTTCAAATATATAAAAAAAAGCACCCCAATGATTCTTTTTTTTTTTGGAAACAGGGTCTCACTCTGTTGCCTAGGCTGGAGTACAGTGCCATGATCACAGCTCACTTCAACCTCAGCCTCCCAGGTAGCTGGGACTGCAGGCCTGTACCGCCATTATTATTATTATTATTATTATTTTGTATTTTCTGCAGAAATGGGGTTTGGTCATGTTACCCAGGCTGGTCTCAAGCTCCTGGGATCAAGTGATCCGTCCGCCTTTGCCTCCCAAAGTGCTGGGATTACAGCGGGGAGCCACTGCGCCCAGCCCAGCCAGCCCGATTCTGACCCAGAGGGTTTAGAAGTTGCTTAGACAGATCTGCTCCTGTAAGTTCACAGAACTCCTCTGGCTACTGCTGTCCCTTTTTTTCCTGAGTCTTGTTTGCTGAAATCTTCTTGAGATTCTGTGAGACAATAGCCCCTATTTCTTCCAGTAAATTACTCTTTTTCTTCCCCTTTAGACAGCCAGTGCTGGTTTCTGTTACATGTAAACAAAAAGGATTTTATTTTTTATTTTTTTAGGCTAGTCAAGTGAAGCAGTGGGAGGCGGAGGACAAAAAGAATTTTGACTAAGGCAATAAATATATTATACAAGTGAAGTATTTCCCAAACTGTATTCTGTGGAATGCTGTGTTCTCAAATGTTAACAAGTTCCATACAAGAACCATTTATTTCTAAATTCTAAAGTCACATTCATATTATGAATTATATTAAACATATATAGTTACTTTTATTATACCTAATAATCTGTCTTTATAAAAGTGTTTACCCAAAAATGCCAGCAGATTCCATGAGAAACTACCTGTACTACAATGATCGTCAAACTTTGGTGCATACATGACAGAATCAACCGGAGGGCTTGTTAAAGGATTGCTGAGTCAAACCCCTCGTTTCAGCAGGTTTGTGGTGGGGCCTGAGAATTTACATTTCTTTTTTTTTTTTTTTTAGACGGAGTCTTGCTCTGTTGCCCAGACTGGAGTGCAGTGGTGCGATCTTGGCTCACTGCAACCTCCGCCTCCCGGTTCAAGCGATTCTTCTGCCTCAGCCTCCCGAGTAGCTGGGACTACAGGTGCCCGCCACCATGCTCAGCTAATTTTTGGATTTTTAGTAGAGACGGGGTTTTACCATATTGGCCAGGCTGGTCTCGAACTCCTGACCTTGTGACCCACCCACCTCGGCCTCCCAAATTGCTGGGATTACAGGCAAGAGCCACCGCGCCCTGCCGAGAATTTGCATTTCTAACAAGTTCCCAGGTGATGCTGACACTGCTGGCTCATGGAACCACTGCTGTAGTATTTTCCAAATTATCCTGATTCTAAGAACCACCTATGACCTGTGCTGTTTTTTCAGTGGTTACTGGCTCATGTCACATAAATTCTTTTAGGATTCAAACATGTTTGTGATATTACTCAGTATTTACATCTTGCTTTTACTGCAGCATGATAGAAAAATTAACCACAGGTATATCATAACAAAAAGACCATGAGTTACCATTTTCACAAAGTTCAGATATATTTAAATTAGCCTATTTAATCTTTTTTTGGTTGTTGTTGAGATGGAGTCTCACTCTGTCTCTCAGGCTGGAGTACAGTGGCACAATCTCAGCTCACTGCAACCTCTGCCTCCCAGGTTCAAGTAATTCTCCTGCCTCAGCCTCCCGAGTAGCGGGGATTACAGGTGCCCAACACCACACATGGCTAATTTTTGTATTTTTAGTAGAGATGGGGTTTTGCCATGTTAGCCAGGCTGGTCTTGAACTCCTGACCTCAGATGATCCGCCTGCCTCGGCCTCTCAAAGTGCTGGGATTACAGGCATGAGCCATCGCACCCAGCCTATGGTACACCTTTACTGAGGAAACAATTCAGGAACATCACTCTTAGTAAGGCAATTGTTGATTATAAGTCAAAAAAACACCATCATGTACAAATTCAGGGGATTTTGTATACCTTGTTTTTTTGGTTACAAATATGCAAAATTAAAGATGTTTGCTAATACTTGTTTCCAATTTTTAAACTTTTCAAGTGTTGCACTGTTAATAATGTTAAAATAAAAGGCATTTGACTTAGTATGATTGTTTCTTGAACTTCATCTTTTCAGGTTATTTTGTTGCTGGCCACTTGCAAGATTTATAGGCACTACTGAGGCCTCAGTGCTGAGATTCAGCAACATTATAATCATTATAATTCAAAGTTTAGTTTTTTGTTTTTTGTTTTTTTTTTTAAAGAGATGGGGTCAAAATGCTGCCCAGGCATGTCTGGAACTCCTGGGCTCAAGCAATCGTCTTGCCTCAGACTGCCAAGTAGCTGAACTGTAGGCACATACCACACCTGGCTGTGTTCAGTTTCATGGGCAAGTCAAACTATCTAGTGTTTTGTCTGTACAGACAAGGTCAATGCGACTTCTCCAAGCTTTTATCACTCAATGGTCCTACAGGCCCTTGTGAGATAGATAGGGTCTTAGAACAAATAACTCATTACAATCCTGGGCAAATACTCTACTGAACTGGTGAACTGAAAATGTTTTGCTAATGGCCCAAATGTCACCTCAAATTTTTTTGCCTAGAGGAGTTACACAACTAGTTTGTATAATAATTTAGTTATACTAGGCCCTCAAGTCTAATTTGAAACAAAATACTTGGCAAAGCAAAATATAACCTAAGAAATAATTCTGATTTTCTGCTAATAACAGACTTGGTTTAGTAGTCAAAAAACCTGGACACAAGTCTCACTGCCAAGGTGCTGAGTGACTGTATAAATCACATGATTTCTAATTCCAGTTCTCTCAATCTACAAAATTAGAACAAGGATGACTAGCTCATATTAAGTATCCTCTAAACCATTTTAAAAATGCAAAATGCTGTTTTAACTGATGGTACTTTCAATTGTATCTTTTTTTTTTTTTTTTTTGAGACAGAGTCTCATTCTGTCACCCAGACTGGAGTGCAGTGGCACAGTCTCGGCTCACTGCAACCTACACCTCCCAGGTTCAAGTGGTTTTCCTGCCTCAGCCTCCTGAGTAGCTGGGACTACAGGTGCGTGCCACCACACCTGGCTAATTTTTGTATTTTTAATAGAGATGGGGTTTTACTGTTGTCCAGGCTGGTCTTGAACTCCTGACCTCAGGTGATCCACCCACCTTGGCCTTCCAAAGTGCTGGGATTACAGGCATGAGCCACCGCACCTGGCCTAATTGTATCTTTTGAAGCAATGACTCCTTCGGATCTCCAGGATCCTCCTGATCTTTATGCTTCAGATTGGGATTTATCCTTCAGGAAGCTTTCTCTGAACACCTCTAATTAGACGGGGAGGGGTACTTTGTCTGTGTCACACCTATCCCCCCAACTCGTGTTGTTTCATAGCACTTATCACACTGTGCATTGTCTGTGGGTTCCTGGATGCAGGGACGCCTCTAATCCATTTTAGCAGTCCATTGGTGTCTGTCTATCTCTTCCAGATAGAAGAAGGCATCAAACACAGTTCACTGATGACAATTTATTATAATCTGTTAGTAGCACACAGACAAATATTAGTTAAACCAGAACCATGTCTACACAGAAGTGGGCAATGACATGTGCCATTCTATGGCACACGGTGTGCACTTAATCATCATGTTTTAGCATTTTGATCTTCTGCTTATGGCGCTCAATTTCTTTCTGCAGACGCTCAATCTCCTTCTTATGATGAACGATTTCTTCTTCATGGTGTTTTTTCAAAGCTGCCAGTTGTTCTCTACTCTGTGCTCTACAAGGACACGGTGGCTCAGGGTTTAATTTCAATCCTTCACCCCAAAGAGATCTCAAAGCATAACCTGTAATGTCTAAGCAAGGAATAGGAGTTCCAATTCCATGGGAGTCTAGCTGGTCATCCTCTTCTACTCCTCAACTAGTGAAAGAATACCCCATCTTAAATTGAGGTGTAGCCATCTTAAGAAGACCAAAGAGCTTATTGCTTTCAGATTCCTCTTTAAAATAGAAAACTCCAGAGAGATGTGACACAAGTCCCTAATACCTTATGAGGGGAACAACCCAGGGAACTTGACTCCCCTTTAGGGAAAAAAAAAGGAACAAAATGAGGAAGACAGACAAAGGGGTGTAGCTAAAAGGCAAATATCCATTTCCTATTCCAATCTGTCTAGAGCTTTCTTTGCCTATAGAAATGAATGGCCCACTGTAAGGCCAATAAAGGGTCTCTTGCATGCGCAGTACTTGGCAGTTCAATTTAGGTTCCAAGAAGGGACTGGATTACAATGTTGGTTTGGTCACATTTAGGCCTCAGTTTTCCTTAACTACAAAATGTAGGGGCTCAATTAGATAGTCTCTAACGGCTGTACCTTGGCTCTCTATACGGTATGGCAGGTGTCATGGTGATAATTCTCAACAGAAGGCAGAAGTGAAAGGCCAAAGGACAAGCAAAAGCAAGATTAATTCCTCACTGCTCTCCAGAGTGGACAGAAGTCAGTTAAAGATAACTCAAGGCTGGCAAAGGGAGGCCCAGCCCACTCCATACTCCTAAGCAGGAGAGGGAAATCTACAGGTCTAGGTTGGGCTGAGTAGGGCAAAAGCCTTTAGAAGATGGTGTCCAACCATAAGTAGCTCCCATGACCAGCTCCCATCATCCTCACTCTTGCGGAGTCGGGGGTCTAGAAACACCTGAGAAGCCTGAATGCATGCAGGCTTGCAAAGCTAAGGCGTGCTGGCGAGGAAGGAGAGCGTAGAGGGGGTGACAGGTGGGTAAGGGCCGAGGGAGTCAGGCTGGGAGGCAAACGTTGGGCGGTCGGATCTAGACACTGTGCGAAGAATCTGGGGGTGTTTCGCACGACCTGAGGAGAACTCCACGCGGGAGATGGTAATGATAAAGGAGGAGTTGAGCCGTGGGTTGTTTTGGAGACCCGCCGGTGGAAACGGTTTGGGGGCCTGAAACTGTTGTGCAGGTAACTGGGAGTGCCCTATACGTGGCAACGGTCGGGACATCAAGGGTTAGGGTATACTGGATTGGGGCCCGGGAGTTCTGTTGGGGGATGGGGCGCCCAAGGCACCAGGTAGGAACGGGTGGGGCGATTGGCAGTTTAAGGATTGGAAGGCCATTGGGAGATCCAGGGCTGGACTTGGGACCCGGTGAGCCTCACCGGAAATATCGTTCCTCTTCAGCCTGCTCTCTCTTTCCGAAGGCCCCACCGGCTTCCCGGATGGAGCCCGCGCCCCGGTCGACATTCTCGGACTGCAGAGAGACAGGGACACTGGTAAAGGTACGGAAGCAAAGATGGGATCCGCCCGCGGGGCTGGAGCAGCGGACACTGCCGCAGCGTACCTGATCCGAGCCGAAGCCTCGGGCTTGCATGGTCCTCACGCCCCACACGCCAAGCCACGTCCGCGCCGCCAACGCCGTCACTGCCATTGCTGCTGGAGCTGCACCTCTGGCGTCTCTGCCGCAGCAAGCAGTCTCTCGTTACGCGCTAATGGCAGGGACGGCCAAGCACCCAATCTGGTCGACGGAGGGGCGGATGAACACAGGAGTAGCGAATCACGGGAGAGCGGAGGCGGGCTTCCCGGAGCTCACAGCGAATCCCGAGCAAGAGACGGGTTTCTTCTTAGCCAACCGCTAGCAAGGGCTTAGGGCCAAAGGACTGGAAAGAGGAATGATGGAGGAGTTTAGAGAGCTGAGTGAGGAGAGTGCCAGAAGCCGAAATTTCGGCTCTTGGACCCATCAGAATGAGGCGTGGCGTCCACCTCCAGCCCACGATTTCAATTCTAAAGTCGTTATTATTCAAAGCCCAAAGGAAGTTTTCCCTTCCCTGGCCTGCTAGCATCAATAAAATGGGGGAATTCGGGGTTTGGGAGCTGTGTCCAGGATGCTGATGTCCAGGATACCGACGTCCAATGTGCCCTGGCTTAGATATACATAAATCGCGTTCATTTGTTATGAGAAGTGTCAGTGTTCTGGCTGGGCGCGGTGGCTCACGCCTGTAATCCCAACACTTTGGGAGGCCGAAGTGGGTGGATCACCTGAGGTCCGGAGTTCGAGACCAGCCTGGCCAACATGGGGAAACCCCGTCTCTACTAAAAATACAAAAATCAGCCGGGTGCGGTGGCACGCGACTGTAATCGCAGCTACTCAGGAGGCTGAGACAGGAGAATTGGCTTGAACCCGGGAGGCGGAGGTTGCAGTGAGCCGAGATTGCGCAACTGCACTCCAGCCTGGTGACAAAGCGAGACTCCGTCTCAAAACAAAAAAAAAAAAAAGAAAACCCAAATTATAACTTGACCACCTCAGGCACAGTTTCCTAGGACCTCTTGAGGCTGTGTTTCCCCAAGCTATGGTCACTCATCTTGGCTCAGAATAAACCTTTTAAAAATATTTTAGTTTGTTTTTTTCGTTAGCAACATATTGTTGAATGGGCTTAATAACTGCACTTTTGGCAATGTGGTGCAATGCAGTAGAAAAGAGCAGGCCAGGCGCGGTGGCTCACACCTGTAATCCCAGCACTTTGGGAGGCCGAGGCGGGCAGATCACCTGAGGTTGGGAATTCGAGACCAGCTTGACCAACATGGAGAAACCCCATCTCTACTAAAAAAAAAATATGAAAAATTAGCTGGGCATGGTGGCGCATATCTGTAATCCCAGCTACTCGGGAGGCTGAGGCAGGAGAATCGCTTGAACCTGAGAGGCAGGGGGTGCAGTGAGCTGAGATCACGCCATTGCACTCCAGCCTGGTCAACAAGAGAGAAACTGTCTCAAAAATAAATAAATAAAAATAAAAAATAAATTAGCTAGGCGTGGTGGCACATGCCTGTAATCCCAGCTACTTGGGAGGCTGAGGCAGGAGAATGCTTGAACCCGGGAGGCTGAGGTTGCGGTGAGCTGAGATCACGCCATTGCACTGCGGCCTGGGTAACAAGAGCGAAACTCTGTCTCAAAAAAAAAAAAAAAAAAAAAAAAAAAGGATAAGTAGGAGTCTAGGGAAAGCTTGACCTTAACCTCCCTTCATCCATCTAATGAATGTGAACAAGACAACAGTAGTCTTTACTCTCATGAAGTTTATAGCTCTTCTCTAACTCATTTTCTCTTCTCTGTTTCTTCTTTTTTAGATGAGAGAATTGGGCCAGATTATCTACCTGATTGATGATTATAAAAATACCTTCTTTGGGGCTGGGCGTGGTGTCTCACACCTGTAATCCCAGCACTTCGGGAGGCCGAGGCGCATGGATCATGAGGTCAGGAGTTCGAGATCAGCCTGACTAACTCCGTCTCTACTAAAAATACAAAAATCAGCCGGGCGTGGTGACATGCGCCTGTAATCTCAGCTACTCAGGAGGTTGAGGCAGGAGAATTGCTTGAACCTGGGAGGCGGCGGTTGCAGTGAGCCAAGATCATGCCACTGCACTCCAGCCTGGGCAACAGAGCAAGCCTCTGCCTCAAAAAAACAAAACAAAACAAAACCTTCTTTGTTTTCTATGAAATAGTAAAACTGGCTTTATTGATTATATTTTAGTTGAGAAAATAGCAGCCCTACCTGGTATTTTGTTTAATTCCATTTATGTGAAATACGTATTCACATATTGTTTAACTCCATTTATGTGAAATATCCAGAATAGGTAAATCCATATAGATAGAACACAGATTGCTTGTTTTCAGGGACTGGGGAGAGGGGGCGAATAGGGAGTAACTGCTTAATAGGTACTAGGTCTCCTCGGCCAGGCGCGGTGGCTCACGCCTGTAATCCCCGCACTTTGGGAGGCCAAGGCGAGCGGATTACGACGTCAGGAGATCGTAGACCATCCTGGCCAACATGGTGAACATCCGGCTTTACTAAAAATATAAAAATTAGCGGGGCATGGTGGCGTTTGTCTGTAATCTCAGCTACTCGGGAGGCTAAGGCAGAATTTCTGGAACCGGGGAGGCGCCACTGCACTCCAGCCTGGGTGACAGAGTGAGACTCCGTCTAAAAAAAAAAAGTAGATACTAAGTCTCCTTTTGAGGTGATGAAACTATTTTGGAACCAGGTAGACATGGTGGTTGCAGAACATTGTGAATGTTCTGAAGACAGCTGAGCCGGTCCGGCGCGGTGGCTCATGCCTGTAATTCCTGTACTTTGGGAGGCCTGGGCAACATGGCAAGACCCCGTCTCCACAAAAGTACATAAAATTAGCCGGGCATGGTGGCGCGCGCCTGCAGTCCCAGCTACTCGGGAGGCTGAAGTGAGAGGATCGCTTGAGCTTGGGAGGTCGAGGCTGCAGTGAGCTGTGATTGCACCACTCGACTCCAGCCTGGACGACAGAGATCCTGTCTCAAAAATAAATAAATAAATAAACCCACTGAATTATTCACTTTTTCTTTTATTCTTCTTATTATTTTTTACCTAACAATAACTTAAGCACATTATTTACTTTAAAGTGGTTAATTATATGTTATGTGTAATTCGTTTAAATTTTAAAAAGCCCACCTACTTTTAAAGTGCCTGGCTGGGCTGCGAGCCCTTTAAGAACCTCTCAGACGGGAGGCGGGGCTAGAGGAGCGGACCTGTAAGAATCACGTGAGGCGACGCCTGCGCAGAAGGGTCACGTGGTGGCTGGGCCGGGGAAATGGCGGCTTCAGGAGAGAGCGGGACTTCAGGCGGCGGAGGCAGCACCGAGGAAGCATTTATGACCTTCTACAGTGAGGTGAACACAGAGTGAGGAGTAGTGGCACCGGGGCGACCGCTCCCGGATCTGCTTTCCCAGTGGACAAAGGCAGTGGCCGCCTGGCCTGGACCGTTGGGCGATTCCTTCAGTCCAGTCTTCGGGGTGGCGGGGGTCTGGGGGTGTGTGAGCGTCTCCCACTGATAGCTGCTGGGAGATCCCCCGGGGCAACGAAAGAGGGAATGGTGTTCGATCTATCGAGGGAGGTGGCGAGTGTGTCCAACATAGTGCGGGCGCGCGGGCAGAGTGCCCCAAGTCCGCGGAGTCGGGGGCTGGCAGAGGCTGGGCCCTTCCTGGGAGTGACTTAGCCTTCTTGGCCCCCGAGACGTTTCTTAGTCCTTTGTAATGAGTTGTTTTAGTGGTTGTTTCTGCCATTCACGAACGCCAGGCACTGTGTATCATGCCAGTTAGGCATTATATTACCCCCATTTTACAGATGACGAACCTGAGCTTTAGGGAGGTGAAATAGTTTGGGGCCTTACAGTAGGTTACAGCTTGCTTGGTGGTATGTTAGGACAGCAGTGGGCTTGTTCTGAGCCTCCTTTACTATCGCATCTCCAGCGCATAGTATGTAGTGGATGCTCAGTAAATATTTGTTGAGTGAATGAATGAATAAATGAAATAAAAGCATGCCGTTTGGAGTCAGAATCTCAGATTAAATTATTGCAAGGGGCTGGGCACAGTGGCTCACATCTGTAATCCCAGCACTTTGGGAGGCCCAGGCGGGAGGAACCCAAAAGCTCGAGGCTGCAGTGACCTATGATCGGACCACTGCACTCCATTTTTGGCGAGAGTGAGACCCTGTCTCTTTAAAAAGAAGGAAAAAAAGGATAGAAAAAAAAATTCTTGGTTGGGCGCGGTGGCTCACGCCTGTAATCCCAGCACTTTGGGAGGCCGAGACGGGCGGATCACGAGGTCAGGAGATCGAGACCACGGTGAAACCCCGTCTCTACTAGAAATACAAAAAATTAGCTGGGCCTGGTAGTGGGCGCCTGTAGTCCCAGCCACTCGGGAGGCTGAGGCAGGAGAATGGCGTGAACCCGGGAGGCAGAGCTTGCAGTGAGCAGAGATCGCGCCACTGCACTCCAGCTTGGGTGACAGAGCGAGAGACTGTCTAAAAAAGAAAAAAATTCTTGGAAGACAGTTAACCTGACTGGACTGGGATTGAATTCTTTTTTTTTTTCCTAAGGCGGAGTTTTGCTCTTGTTGCCCAGGCCTGGAGTGCAGTGGCACGATCTTGGCCCACTGCAACCTCTGCCTCCCTGGTTCAAGTGATTCTCTCGCCTCAGCCTCCCGAGTAGCTGGGATTACAGGCGCCTGCCACCACGCCTGGCTAATTTTTGTATTTTTGGTAGAGACGGGGGTTTCACCATGTTGGCCAGACTGGTCTTGATCTCCTGACTTAAGGTCCTCCCGCCTCGGCCTCCCAAAGTTGCTGGGATTACAGGCTTGAGCCACCACGCCTGGCCGGGATTGAATTTGTTCAAGACATTAATTTTGCAGATCTTCATATTCCACATCTGTAAAAACAAGAGAGTTAATTTAATTTAATTTATTTATTTTGAGACAGAGCCTCACTCTTGCCCAAGCTGGAATGCACAACCTCTGCCTTCTGGGCTCAAGTGATTCTCCCACATCAGTAGCTGGGACTACAAGCTCAGGCCACCATGCCTGGCTGATTTTTGTATTTTTTTTGTTGTGACAGGGTCTTGTTGTGTTGCCCAGGCTGGTCTTAAACTCCTGGGCTCAAGCAATCCTCCCGTCTTGGCCTCCCAAAGTGTTGGGATTACAGGCATGAGCCACTGTGCTTGGCAAGAGAGTTAATTTTAAAATAAACATTTTCATGAGGACTAAAGTTATTGTATAAGAAAGCGTTTCATAAAAAAATAAAGCAGAAGCATCTTTCTCAGGGTTAAACAAGGCAGAAGATGGGACCTCTGTAGGGTGGCATGGGTTTGAGGAATGGAGTTGCCCCCCAGCAGGCTGTGAGCTATTCAGGGTTAAGGACCATATCACATCCATCTTTTATTTCTTGCAATTGTAACAGTACTTGTTACATAGTAGTTTCTCCAAAGTATTACATTTAGGTCTAGACACCTGGCAGGCACTGCCTGTAGTCTCAGCTGCCCGGAAGGCTGAGGCAAGAGGACTGGAGGATGACTTGAGCCCAGGAGGTGGAGGTTGCAGTGAGCCATGATCTGTCTTCTGTCACTGCAGTACACCCTGGGTGACAGAGCAAGACCCCTTCTCAAAAAACAAAAACAAACAAAAAACCAAATGGCAACCTTTGTTTGAATTGGATGGGAAAAAATATCTAAGGAAGGGTAATTCAGTCATTTTTTTAAAAAATAGAGACAAGGTCTTGCCATGTTGCTCAGGTTGGTCTTGAATTCCTGCACCCAAGTGATCCTCCTGCCTCAGACTCCCAAAGTGCTGGGATTACAGGCATAAGCCACCACACTGGCCTCATTCATTTAACAGATGTTTATTGAACATTGGAAATGTACTAGTTTGCTATTTAGGTGTTGAGGATACGGTAGTGAACAAGAGAGAAAAAAAATCCTGTTTTCATAGAGTGAAGAGGGAAGATGTCTAGAAGGAATGACTTTTTATGTTAATGAAATTCTTTCCAACCTTGTTTTGGCTATAGGAATAAAGATGGCATATAGCATACCAGAGATTCATTCCAACTAGCATTCCAACTCTGACAGTGACACCAAGAATGTTTTCCTGGGACTGCCTGGTGCTTGTTCTCCCTGGCATTGTCTTCAGGTCAGGGATTTTTCTTTTTTCTTTCTTTCTTTTTTTTAAATTAAAAATAGAGATGGGGTTTCGCCATGTTGCCCAGGCTTGTCTCAAACTCCTGAGCTCAAGCAATCCACCCACCTCAGCCTCCCAAAATGTTGGGATTACAGGTGACAGCTACTCCGCCTGGCCAAGTCAGGGATTTTTTCTAACACTATTAGAATTAGGTGGTGGAGTTGTTTGTTCCTTCCCATCAACAGTTTTAAATGCTGCTCATAGTTTATGTCTTACTGTGATTGTATTTTTCCTTTTTTTGCTCTTTAAATTTTTTTCTTTATTTTTTTTCCTCACAGAGAAATCTCTTACTTTTTTTTTTTCTTTTTTGAGACGGAGTCTCGCTGTGTCTCCCAGGCTGGAGTCCAGTGGCGCGATCTTGGCTCACTGCAACCTCTGTCCCTGGGGTTCAAGCGATTCTCCTGCCTCAGCCTCCCAAGTAGCTGGGACTACACGCCATGCCACCATGCCCAGCTAATTTTTTGTATTTTTAGTAGAGACGGGGTTTCACCATGTTGGCCAGGATGGACTCCATCTCCTGACCTCATGATCTGCCCACCCCCCAGCCTCCCAAAGTGTTGGGATTACAGGCGTGAGCCACTGTGCCCAGCCTATTTTTTTTTTCTTAAAATTAAAAGCTATAAATGAAGTATAATCACACACAAGCACATCTTCCATCATTAAAGTGGAAGTTCTTTAAAGGCTGTGACTTATTTATCTTTGAATCCTCTTGATGCCTGCTGTGGGGTCAAACTGTTGGGGTTAAAATTCTGGCTTACAAGTTGGGTAATTGGGAACAAGTCAGTTACCTTCTCTAAGCCTCAGTATTCTTATCTGTGAATTGGGTATAACAGCAGTATCTACCACATAGGGTTGTTGAGATTAATAAATACATGTAAGGTTTTTATATTAAAATTCAACAAATGGTAGTTTTAATTTCTCAAAGCATTTAGCAAAATGTCTTGCACATGGTAAACACACAAATAAATGTTTGTTGAACATATCAGTGAACATTTTGTTAAGATAATTCAGTTTGTTATTGAATTCTATTAATGAAGTTTTTAATCCTCATAATTTTAGGTGAAACAAATAGAGAAGAGAGACTCGGTTCTAACTTCGAAAAATCAGATTGAAAGACTGACCCGTCCTGGTTCCTCTTACTTCAATTTGAACCCATTTGAGGTGAGCCGATTGATGTTGCTAGGGCCTCTGTAATGGGGGAGATTTGCATAGCTGCAGGCATACCTACATCAGAATACATACCTAATTTATATCATAGTTAGGATTGAGAAAAATGGTGGAGTAAAGTGATGGAATCTGTATAGTACAAAATTGAGTATTCCTTATCCAAAATGCTTGGGACCAGAAGTTTTTTGGATTTTGGATTTTTTTGGGATTTTGGAATATATACATACATTCTGCTTACTTACTGGTTGAAGCATCCCAAATTAGAAAATTCAGAATGTTAATGAGCATTTTCTTTGAGCATCAGTTGACTCTCAGAAAGTTTCAGATTTTGGAGCATTTTGGATTTTGCATTTTTGGATTAGGGATATGTAACCTGTATATAGATTGTCTTTAAACTTGGGTGATTGTACCGAGCAGAACTGGAGAGACAGCATGTTAAGGAAAGTGAGATGGTCACATATCTTTCATCATCTTTTAGCAACCCAAATATATAAGGATTTAATTTCAGATGTGAAGGGGTGGCTAGCTCTAATAAGTTTAGGATTCTTTTTTTTTTTTTTTTTTTTTGAGACGGAGTCTTGCTCTGTCCCCCAGGCTGGAGTGCAGTGGCGCGATCTTGACCCACTGCAACCTCCTTCTCCCAGGTTCAAGCAATTCTCCTGCCTCAGCCTCCCGAGTAGGTGGGATTACAGGTGCCCACCACTGTGCCTGGCTAATATTTGTATTCTTAGTAGAGATGGGGTTTCACCATGTTGGCCAGGCTGGTCTCGAACTCCTGACCTTGTGATCCACCCGCCTCAGCCTCCCAAAGTGCTGGGATTACAGGCGTGAGCCACTGCGCCCAGCCTAGGATTCTTGATTTAAACTACTTGTTAAAACTTCTGTTTCACTATAATAAATGCCAAAAACCCAACAACAACAAAACAAAGATCACAAGATTTTAGATAAATGAATATACTTTTTGATTTTCTTAATTTTATAGCTTTAAACTTTTCCTGGTTATAAAAGTAAATCATATTTGTTGCAAATGTACAGAAAGCAAGAATAATCATATATAATCCCACCTAAGAGAAATAGCCACTCCTGTTTACACTCAAACTGTTTTGCTTAAAAACAGGGAGCATCATACACTTAATCCTTCTTCTTCTTCTTCTTCTTTTTCTTTTTTAAAGAGATGGGGCCTCATTATGTTGCCCAGGCTGGCTTAGAACTCGTGGGCTTAAGTGATCTCCTTGACCTGCTCAGCCTCTGGAGTAGATGGGATTACAGGCATATGACACCACACCTGGCTCAGCTCAATACGATTTTATTTTATTTTATTTTTTTGAGACAGGGTCTCACTGTCACCCAGGCTAGAGTGCAGTGGTGCAATCATGGCTTACTGCACCCTTGAACTCCTGGGTTCAAACGATTTGCCCACCTTGGGCTCCCATAGTGCTAGGATTACAGCCATTCGCCACCATGTCCAGCCTCAGTGCTGTTTTAAATGCTTTTTTTTTTTTTTTTTTGAGATGAAGTCTCACTCTGTCACCTAAGCTGGAGTGTAATGGTGCAATCTTGGCTCACTGCACCTCCGCCTCCCAGATTCAAGTGTTTCTCTTGCCTCAGCCTCCCGAGTAGCTGAGATTACAGGTGCCTGCCTCCATGCTTGGCTAATTTTTGTATTTTTAGTAGAGACGGGGTTTTGCCATATTGTTCAGGTTGGTCTCGAACTCCTGAGCTCAGGCGATCCACCTGTCGCGGCCTCCCAAAGTGCTAGGATTATAGGTGTGAGCCACCGCGCCTGTCCAAAAAAAAAAAAAAAAAAAAAAGAGAGAGAGAGAAATTCTTTTTTTTTTTTTGCAATGCTTGACAAGATGTTAAATCTGTTAACATCTTTAATCATAAATGAACTCTTCAGAACTCAGTACAGACTAACATTACACGGAAAGTGAAAATAAAAGGAACAGAGGAAAATGGAATAGTACAAATGAGTTATAAGGCTATATGAAGATGATATATAGTTAATACTAATAGTTGAGAAAGCAATTTTATTATAAATTACATTATTTGTGCTTACAAATATTGATATCTGATGTTGGTACAGCTTTAGAAAATGAAGAATTCTCAAATACTGAGGAAACTTACTCTAGTCATGAGGAGTTTACTCAAAAATGTAGATTTGTGCATAAATTTGGCCCCAGCAGTTCCAAACCACAGCAATCACTCCAACAAAGTAGTTGGGTACACACACATATACATACATGTTTACTACACAATAGATGTGTAAGTAATATGTCACCCCCCAAGAAACTTTTTATGAACTGGTTATAAAATAATAGACTGGGGGGTAAAAAAAATTCCATATAATTTATTTAATCATTTCTTTATTGTGGAATAGT
Organism: Homo sapiens; assembly: GCF_000001405.40. NCBI lineage: Eukaryota > Metazoa > Chordata > Mammalia > Primates > Hominidae > Homo > Homo sapiens. The sequence goes on along the minus strand of NW_018654706.1, from coordinate 20,178 downwards.
TTAGCTAGTTTATTTCTTTCTAAAATTTTTTTTTTTGAGATGGAGTCTCTGTCGCCCAGGCTGGAGTGCAGTGGCGCAATCTCGGCTCACCGCAACCTCTGCCTCCCGGGTTCAAGCGATTCTTCTGCCTCAGCCTCCCGAGTAGCTGGGACTACAGGCATGTGCCACCACGCCTGGCTAATTTTTGTATTTTTTGTAGAGATGGGTTTCACCATATTGGCCAGGCTTTTCTCAAACTCCTGACCTTGTGATCTGCCTGCCTCGGCCTCTCAAAGTGCCGTGATTACAGACGTGAGCCACCACACCCAGATCTTTAAAAAGTTTTTTTAACAGGCGGCCCTCTGAACCAGAATAGGTTCAGAGAGACTCCCTAAACTACTTTCTAATTGTTCACATTTACAAATAATTTTGAAGTGAATATTTTTGTATCTGTTAAATAATAGAAACAACACTTATTGGGCACTTAGAAAAAAACTCCCCTCACTTTTTTTTATTGTGGAAAAATATATATAACATAAAATTTGCCATTTTGGCCAGGTGTGGTGGCTCACGCCTGTAATCTCAGCACTTTGGGAGGCCAAGGTGGGAGGATCACTTTAGGCCAGGAGTTTGAGACCAGCCTGGCCAACATGGCGAAACCCCATCTCCACAAAAATAATACAAACATTGCTGGGCATGGTGGTGCATGCCTGTAATCTCAGCTACTTGGGAGGCTAAGGCCCAAGAATCACTTAAACCCAGGAGGCGGAGGTTGCAGTGAGCCGAGATTGTGCTACTGTACTCCAGCCTGGGCGACAGAACGAGACTGTCTCAAAAAAAAAAAAAAAAATTACCATTTAAATTTTTTTTTAGTTTTACAATTCAGTGGCATTAAGTACATTCACAGTGTTGTGTAACCATCACCACTGTTCATATTCAGAAATTTTTCGTCACCCCAACCAGAAACTCTGTATCCACTAAACAGTAACTCCTCATTTTCTCCCTGACCCCTGGTAACCTCTACTCTACTTTGTCTATGAATTTGCCTCTTCTAGGAAACCCGTGTAAGTGGAATGGTACCGTATTTGTTACTTTGTGTCTGGCTTATTTCACTTAGCATGATATTTTCAAGGTTCATCTGTTTTCTGTTTTTTGAAGAGTAATTTTTCAAGAATTTTTTCATTTATAAATAATCTCAGATTAACAAATATTTCAAATACAATATGAAGACTTTTCCTTGAACTCTTTAAGAGTAAATTGTTAGTATGATGGTCCATCACCCTGATATACTTTAATGTGATTTTTCTACAAATATCCTCTTACTGAACCACAATATAAACTATCAAAATCAGGAAATGAACCCTGATACATTGTTACTATGTAAATCATCAGACCCCATTCAAATTTTACTAATTGTCCCAAAAAAGTCTTTCTCAGGGCCTCTCTGGATACATTGTTACTATATAATCATCAGACCCCATTCAGGTTTTACTAATTGTCCCAAAAAGGTGTTTTTCAGGGCCTCTCTATCACTCCGCTCACTGTATAGCTCACTGCAACCTCGAACTCCTGGGCTCTGGGCTCAATTGATCCTCCTACCTCAGATTTTCAAAATACTGGGATTCAAGGTGTGAGCCACTGTGTTTGGCTCTTTGGTTTGTTTGTTTGTTTCGTGACAGAGTCTCACTCCACTGCCCAGACTGGAGTGCAGTGGCGCAATATCGGTTCACTGCAACCTCCGCCTCACGGGTTCAAGTGATTCTCCTGACTCAGCCTCCCTGGTTGCTGGGATTACAGGAGCGTGCCACCATGCCCTGCTAATTTTTTGTATTTTTAGTAGAGATGGGGTTTCACCAAGCTGGCCAGGCTTGTCTCGAACTCCTGACCTCATGATCCGCCCTCCTCAGCCTCCCAAAAAGTGCTGGGATTTCAGGCGTGAGCCACCACACCTGGCGTGTTTGTTTTGTTTTGTAAGATGGGGTCTCCCTGGCCAGGCGCGGTGGCTCACACCTGTAATTCCAACACTTTGGGAGGCTGAGGCGGGCAGATCACTTGAGGTCAGGAGTTCAAGACCAGCTTGGCTAACATGGTGAAACCCTGTCTCTACTAAAAATAAAAAAATTAACCGGGTGTGATGGAGTGCCCCTGTAATCCCAGCTACTTGGGAGGCTGAGGCAGGAGAATTGCTTGAACCTGGGAGGCAGAGGTTGCAGTGAGCCGAGATTGCACCATTGCACTCCAGCCTGGGCGACAGAGTGAGACTCCATCTCAAAAATAAAAAGAAGTGTCATGAGGTTACTATTTTTCCCCTTTGTAATGAATAAGTATTTTATGTGGAGGTGCTTTGAAACTTGGTAAATATCCTGTCCATATCAAAATTTTAGTTCATTTATTTGCCAGTATGGACTTAGGTTTTTCTATTTTATTCAGTACGTTGTAATTTTATGTTTATTTTGATGCTCAGATTGTCTCAAGTTTGGCCAGTGGGTTACCTTTCAATCTAGCTCCTGTGTCTTTCATATGTCTTCATCATTCTTTGATTAGTAGGCACTTTTGTGTTTTTCCTGACCCAGCCTGGAATTAACCATTTCACCAAGGAGCGCTGGTTCCTTTTGGCAGAGAATGATATATAGAAATCAAGATTTGAATGCTAGGTAGATTCATTGCTGTTGGGATATCACAGCTTACAGACCCTGGAGTCTGTGTGTTTGTGTGTGTACATATATGTTTACACCCAACATCCATTTTCAGTCCAACCCCACAGGATTTATTCTAATAGTTAGAAACCTGGTTCCCACTATCTTTTCTTTATTATTATTCTTTTTTTCTTTTTTTTTTTTTTGTAAAGACAAGGTCTCACTATGTTGCCCAGGTTGATCACAAACTCTTGGCCTCAAATGATCCTCCCTTGGCCTCCCAAAGTACTGGGATTGATTATAGCATTACAGCCAGTGCACCTGGCGCTGGCTCCTACAGAATTTAATATCTACATTTACTTAATTGATCTCTCTGTATGCAACTAACTTCCCACTGCCACTCCTTCCCTCTGAATGCTCTCCTCACCCCGCTGTACTCTGATACCAGCACCAGGATATGTCTATGCAAAAACCTTTCTCACCACACCTGGGCTCTGAACTCCCATGTCAGGCCACCCTTCCATGTGGCTCTCTGGCTTTCTGAGCCTGCTCTCTTCCTGCTGGGGGCCCTTTTCACTGATCATGGGCTCCAGCATCCCACACTGATCCTCCCCGCTGAGTAGGCATCTTCCCTACCCTGCTCTGGCTTTGACATCCTCCGTCAAGCCACCTTCTTCCATGAACACCTTTCTCCTCTTACTCGGGGTCTGGCTCCACATACCATGTCTCTTTTCATATTTTTTGGGCTCTGAACCTTGTGTTGGGCTGCCTTTTCACACTGGATGCCCTACTACTTGGACACCCTTCTCACCATACCAGGCTTCCATACCCCATGCTTGGCTGCCCTTTGTGGGAATGTCCTTGCTTGGGTTCTTGTACCCTGTGCCAGGCTACCTTCCCCTGTGGACACCCTCCGTACCTTGCTTGGTCTCAGACACCCTGTGTTGGATTCTACTTCCACACGGATGCTTTCCTCATCCCTCTTGGGCCCTGATATCCTGCGCTGGCTGCCCTCCCATGCTGACATTTTCCCCCTGCTTAGGTTCTGATGTTCCTGTGCTGGCCTCCCTGTCTATGGGGATGCCTTTCTGAACTTCTTTGTACACCATGTTAGGCTGTCCTTCTCTGTGGATGCCCTTCTCACCCCATTTGGGCTTCAGCACCCTGTGACTAGCCACTACTTTCTGTGTGGTCACTGCCTTCCTTGTTCCAGGTGGGCTCTGACACTGTGCTCTGGGCCATGTGACTCCCACCCAGAGTAGACGTCTGTTTTGCCTGACCCCACTTAATGGATTTGGATTTATTGCTTAGGAAGGGAAGGGGGAGATAAAAAGCTTGAAGATTACTTTTTTTTTCAATTTTTAAAATTGTAAAATACACATAACATAAAATTTACCATCTTAACCAGTTCATTTTTTTTTTTTTTTTTTTTTTGAGATGGAGTCTTGCTTTATCACCCAGGCTGGAGTGTAGTGGCGTGATCTCGGCTTACTGCAACCTCCGCCACCTGGATTCAAGCAATTCTCCTGTCTCAGCCTCCTGAGTAGCTGGGACTACAGGTGCATGCCACCACATCCGGCTAATTTTTGTATTTTTGGTAGAGATGGGGTTTCACCATGTTAGTCAGGCTGGTCTCGAACGCCTGACCTCAGGTGATCCACCCGCCTCAGCCTCCCAAAGTGCTGGGATTACAGGTGTGAGCCACTGTGCCCAGCCAGTTCATTGTTTTTAAATACACTCATAGTGTTGTCCAACCATTACTATTATCCATCCTCATAACTCTTTTCATCTTGTAAAACTGAAATTGTATACCCATTAAACAATAATTCCGCATTCCTCCCTCCCCAGCCCCTGGTAACCACCATTCTACTTTTTGTCTCTATGACTTTGACCAAGTACCTCATATAAAAGGAATCATAGTGTTTGCCTTTTCGTGACTGGCTTATTTCATCTAGTACAATGTCTTGGGTTCTTCAATGTTGTAGCATATTGTAGAATTTCCTTCTTTTTAAGGCTGAATGGTAATCTGTTGTATGGATATACCACATTTTGCCTATTCATTCATCCGCTGATGGACATGGGTTGTTCTACATCTTAGCTATTGAGAAAAGTGTTGCTATAAACATGGATGTATAAATATTGAAGAGTACTTTTGATATGATTTTGGGGAGGGCCTAGGGGAAGATGATTTGCTGGAGAGATGATAAAGAATTTATGGTATGTTCTTTCTATCTAGCCATACTTTAAAATCGAGCATAGTACCATGAAAGGGAACATATGACCATATAATTTATTTTTTGTTAAGGTAATTAGTATCTCCTGTGGGGACCTGATGGATGAGAAGGGACAGATTGTTGGGCATCAGTGTGAAACGCTAGGATTTTAGTGCCCTATTAGTTATTGTAGTTCTGAAAGTGGAACTCATTGCCCTGTAGCCTTTGTTCTCACTATAGGAAGTATGTTTAGATGTGTGACGATATGGTGAGTTTGCACGCTCTGAAAGCTGCAAGATTGTGTTTGAGTGGGCAGGACTCCCTGACTGTTCTTTCTTTCTTTGTTTCTTTCTCTTTTTCCCTTTTTGAGACAGAGTTTCCTTCTTGTTGCCCAGGCTGGAGTGCAGGGGCACGATCTCGGCTTACTGCAACCTCCGCCTCCCGGGTTCAAGCAATTCTCCTGTCTCAGTCTCCCGAGTAGCTGGGACTACAGGCGCCCGCCACCACGCCCGGCTAATTTTTTGTATTTTTCATAGAGACGGGGTTTCACTATGTTAGCCAGGATGGTCTCGATCTCCTGACCTCGTGATCCACCCGCCTCAGCCTCCCAAAGTGCTGGGATTACAGGCGTGAGCCACCGCGCCCAGCCTGGATTCCTTTTTCAAGCAGAAGATCCTAAAGGAGATGGCTGTTACATTTTGAGTTCAGGAACTTATCTGAATGCAACAGTTAAGCATTTTTGTTTCTGTGTGATGATTAATTAGCTCCCTGAGGTTCAAAACTGTGGGTCTCTCCCTCCATATCCTAAAAGCCTGAGACGCAACAGGAGTTCAGAAAAACCTTCCAAGAATCTGAACAGACCTGTGTGCTTGGAGCCATGTTGGTAATAAGGCATTTATCATTTTTGTCAGAATTACTTGTTACTTGTCTCTCCCTTATCTACTGTGAGAACAGTAATTCTTAAATTCTGTGAGGACAGTAGAGCTGTGGTTAGAATGTGTCCCCCAAATTCATGTGTTAGAAATTTAATCCCAATGCAACAGCTTTTCAGGGTAGGGCCTAATAAGAGGTGATTAGGTCTCTGCCCTCACAATTGGATTAATGTCCTCATCTTGGGAGTGGATTAGTTATCTCAAGAATAGACTTGTTACATATGTGAGTTTAGCCCCCTCTTGCCCTTACCTGATGACGGCCACTCAACCTTGAACTTCCCAGCCTACAGAAGTATAAGAAATACATTTCTTTTCTTTATAAAGTGCCCACTGTATGGGATTCTGTTCTGGCAACACAAAACAGACTAAGAAAAGTAGTGAGCACAGTATCTAGCTATCTTAGAAAATTTTTGTGCTCTACAAGTTGGTACTGAATGTATAAAGCTGGCTTCAAAGAGGACCGGCCGCAGGTAAAAGTCCATTGTCTTCACCATGCCACGTGTGGCACCTCCAGCTCTTAAAGACAAAAGAGGAGTTGGATTGGCTTTGAAGGCACTCAGTGAATATTTGTTCTGATATAACTCTTGGAAAAATAACTTTTGGAGTGTGTGTTTGTATGTGTATGTAGGTATATATACTCTCCTCCTTTTTGCCCAATCATGTGGTGAAAGTAAGCTCCAGGTGTTGTTAACACTTAATGCCTAAATACTTTAGCATGCATCTCCTCGAAACAAGAACAATTCCGTGTAACCACAACACTATCACCCATTGGAAAATAACACTAAGAAAGAATAGAAAGGCCGGGCACAGTGGCTCACGCCTGTAATCCTAGCACTTTGGGAGGCTGAGGTGAGCAGATTGCCTGAGTTCAGGAGTTTGAGACCAGCCTGGCCAACATGGTGAAACCCCATCTCTACTGAAATACAAAAAATTAGCTGGGCATGGTGGCAAACACCTGAAGTCCCAGCTATTCAGGAGGCTGAGGCAGGAGAATTGCTTGAACCAGGAGGCGGAGGTTGAAGTGAGCTGAGATTGCTCCACTGCACTTGACAGAACAAGACTCTGTCTCAAGAAAGAAAGAAAAAAAGAATAGAAATCGTCCGAACTTCACAAAAAAAGCCTCTAATAAAACTAGAGCTTAAGAAACTTTAGCCATAGGAAAACCACATCAAGTTACTTTATCCAGCATACAGTCCACATGCAAATGGGCCCAGCTGTCCCCAAAATCTCCTTTATAGCTATTTTAGTTTAATTTATTTATTTATTGAGACAGAGTCTCACTCTGTTGCCCAGGCTGGAGTGCAGTGGCACGATCTCGGCTCACTGCAAGCACCGCCTCCCGGGTTCATGCCATTCTCTTGCCTCAGCTTCCTGAGTAGCTGGGACCACAGGCGCCCGCCACCACACCTGGCTAATTTTTTTGTATTTTTAGTAGAGATGATGTTTCACCGTGTTAGCCAGGATTGTCTCGATCTCCTGACCTAGTGATCTGTCTGCCTCCGCCTCCCAAAGTGCTGGGATTACAGGCGTGAGCCGCCACACCTGGCCAATTTTAGGGTTTTTTTTTTTAACTCAAGAACCACTATAACCATTTTACTGTCTGTATATATCCCATAACATCATGTTGTAATCCCCAAATACACACAGCAGAATTTATTTTTTAAAAAGAAATCAACCAGGGTTTATGAATTACATTTGGCATGATTAGTTGTAAGCTATAATCTTATCAGAGGCTTTTTTTGTGAGGGTGGGACAATTTCTGTTCTTTCTCATTTATTTGGGCGCCTTCTGGGATTTGTTGGACTTTGGTTTGCCCCTAGAGATTCCTTTTCCTCAGAACTAGTGGTTTTCCTATGAATATTTTTGTTTGAACAGTTACAGTCCCTCGTCTGTAAATCTTATGTGACTTTGCTCTTCCTATTGAGTGACTTTCCCAATTCCTTTCTCCTTGGGAAGTTATGAGAGTGGGGCACACTGACATGAAAATTCTCATTTTCATGCACCACCATGCCTGGCTAATATTGTATTTTTAGTAGAGACGGGGTTTCTCCATGTTGGCCAGGCCTGTCTCAAACTCCTAGCCTCAAGTGATCTCCCTGCCTTGGCCTCCCAAATCACTGGGATTACAGGCGTGAGCCACTGTGCCTGGCCAGGGAGACCCCATCTCTAAAAACATTTTAAAAAGTCACCAGGCATGGTTGTGTGCTCCACGCACTTACAGTCCTAGTTGCTCAAGAGGCTGAGACCAGAGGACCACTTGAGCCCCAGAGCTCGAGGCTGCAGTGACCTATGATTATGCCACTGCACTCCAGCCTGGGCAACAAAGTGAGACACTGTCTCAAAAAAAAAAAAATTATTTGTTTAAAGAAGTGTTGCTTAAGGCTGGGTGCGGTGGCTCACGCCTGTAATCCCAGCACTTTGGGAGGCTGAGGTGGGCAGATCACCTGAAGTCGGGAGTTCGAGACCAGCCTGACCAACATGGAGAAACCCCGTCTCTACTAAAAATACAAAATGAGCCGGGCGTGGTGGCACATGCCTGTAATTCCAGCTACTCAGGAGGCTGAGGCAGGAGAATCGCTTGAATCCCAGAGGCGGAGGTTGCAGTGAGCCAAGATCACACCATTGCACTCTAGCCTGGGCAACAAGAGCGAAACTCCATCTCAAAAAAAAAAAAAAAAAAGAATAGAAACCATCCGACCTTCATGAAAAAAGCCTCTAATAAAATTAGAGCTTAGGAAACTTTAGCCATAGGAAAACAACGTCAAGTAACTTCATCCAGCATACAGTCCACATGCAAATGGGCCCAACTGTCCCCAAAATCCCCTTTATAGCTATTTTAGTTTTTTTTTAACTAAAGAACCACTATACTATAACCATTTTACTGTCTGTATATATCCCATAACATCATGTTGTAATCCCCAAATACACACAGCAAAATTTATTTTTAAAAAAGAAATCAATCAGGGTTTATGAATTACATTTGGCATGATTAGTTGTAAGCTATAACCTCATCAGAGGCTTTTTTTGTGAGGGTGGGACAATTTCTGTTCTTTCTCATTTATTTGGACGTCCTCTGGGTTTTGTTGGACTTTGGTTTACCCCTAGAGATTCCTTTTCCTCAGAACTAGTGGTTTTCCTATGAATATTTTTGTATGAACAGTTACAGCCCCTCGTCTGTAAATCTTACGTGACTTCGCTCTTCCTATTGAGTGACTTTCCCAATTCCTTTCTCCTTGGGAAGTTATGAGAGTGGGGCGCACTGACTTGAAAATTCTCATTTTCATGCGCCACCATGCCCGGCTAATTTTGTATTTTTAGTAGAGACGGGGTTTCTCCATGTTGGCCAGGCCTGTCTCAAACTCCTAGCCTCAAGTGATCTCCCTGCCTTGGCCTCCCAAAGTACTGGGATTGCAAGCGTGAGCCACTGTGCCTGGCCAGGGAGACCCCATCTCTAAAAACATTTAAAAAAGTCACCAGGCATGGTTGTGTGCTCCACGCACTTACAGTCCTAGTTGCTCAAGAGGCTGAGACCAGAGGACCACTTGAGCCCCAGAGCTCGAGGCTGCAGTGACCTATGATTATGCCACTGCACTCCAGCCTGGGTAATAAAGTAAGACACTGTCTCAAAAAAAAAAAAAAATTATTTGTTTAAAGAAGTGTTGCTTAAGGCCAGGCGCGGTGGCTCACACCTGTAATTCCAGCACTTTGGGAGGCCGAGGCAGGCGGATCACCTGAAGTTGGGAGTTCAAGACCAGCCTGACTAACATGGAGGAACCCCATCTCTACTAAAAATACAAAATGAGCCGGGCGTGGTGGCGCATGCCTGTAATCCCAGCTACTCGAGAGTCTGAGGCAGGAGAATCGCTTGAACCTGGGAGGCGGAGGTGGCAGTGAGCCGAGATCACACCATTGCACTCCAGCCTGGGCAACAAGAGCAAAACTCCGTCTCAAAAAAAAAAAAAAAAAGAAATCGCCCCACCTTCACAAAAAAAGCCTGTAATAAAATTAGAGCTTAGGAAACTTTAGCCATAGGAAAACAACATCAAGTAACTTTATCCAGCATACAGTCCACATGCAAATGGGCCCAGCTGTCCCCAAAATCTCCTTTATAGCTATTTTAGGTTTTTTTTTTAACTCAAGAACCACTATAACCATTTTACTGTCTGTATATATCCCATAACATCATGTTGTAATCCCCAAATACACACAGCAAAATTTATTTTTAAAAAATCAATCAGGGTTTATGAATTACATTTGGCATGATTAGTTGTAAGCTATAATCTTATCAGAGGCTTTTTTTGTGAGGGTGGGACAGTTTCTGTTCTTTCTTTTATTTGGGCATCCTCTGGGATTTGTTGGACTTTGGTTTGCCCCTAGAGATTCCTTTTCCTCAGAACTAGTGGTTTTCCTATGAATATTTTTGTATGTACAGTTACAGTCCCTCGTCTGTAAATCTTACGTGACTTCGCTCTTCCTATTGAGTGACTTTCCCAGTTCCTTTCTCCTTGGGAAGTTATGAGAGTGGGGCGCACTGACTTGAAAATTCTCATTTTCATGCGCCACTACGCCTGGCTAATATTGTATTTTTAGTAGAGACGGGGTTTCTCCATGTTGGCCAGGCTCGTCTCAATCTCCTAGCCTCAAGTGATCTCCCTGCCTTGGCCTCCCAAAGTACTGGGATTACAGGCGTGAGCCACTGCGCCCGGCCAGGGAGACCCCATCTCTAAAAACATTTTAAAAAGTCACCAGGCATGGTTGTGCGCTCCACATACTTACAGTCCTAGTTGCTCAAGAGGCTGAGACCAGAGGACCACTTGAGCCCCAGAGCTTGAGGCTGCAGTGACCTATGATTATGCCACTGCACTCCAGCCTGGGCAACAAAGTGAGACACTGTCTCGAAAAAAAAAAAAATTATTTGTTTAAAGAAGTGTTGCTTAAGGCTGGGCGCGGTGGCTCACACCTGTAATCCCAGCACTTTGGGAGGCTGAGGCAGGCGGATCACCTGAAGTCTGGAGTTTGAGACCAGCCTGACCAACATGGAGAAACCCTGTGTCTACTAAAATTACAAAATTAGCCAGGTGTGGTGGCACGTGCCTGTAATCCCAGCTACTCAGGAGGCTTAGGCAGGAAAATCGCTTGAACCGCGGAGGTGGAGGTTGCAGTGAGCCGAGATCTCGCCATTGCACTCCAGCCTGGGCAATAAGAGCGAGACTCCATCTCAAAAAAAAAAAAAATAGAGTTGTTCCTCCTATTGGCCCTACCCCTGCTCTATGGGGTTGGAATCAGACTTTCGTAGAGTGGGCCAGCCATTGCTCACAGGTTTCCACAGGTGATTCTAATATTCACTCTGATTGAGAACCACTGGGCCTTGTAAATTATAAAGTGTCCATTGGGCTATTTTTTTCTTTTTTGAGTTATTACGGTTTCTCGACATTTGCAAAAATAAAGGGAGGGGGAGTTAAACTCTTTTAATGAATGAAGGAGAAATGCAAAATTTTCTCATGTAAAAATGTCTCTGGGTGTAAAATAAATTATTATTTTTATGATGAAAATAAGCATTATGTTATTTGAGTACCATAAGACAATATAATTGTTATTCTGTTGATTTGATCATTCATATTTCTTTAGCAATTTCTAGAACTGTGTGCCAGCCTGTGTTCTAGAACATGGGGTACTATTCTAGATGCTGATTATAATATATATAATTACTGAGCAACTCTTAAATATACATGTAATTTATTTTCACCTTTTTTATGGTTTTGATTTTGATACTTCCAGGTTCTTCAGATAGATCCTGAAGTTACAGATGAAGAAATAAAAAAGAGGTTTCGGCAGGTACAGTACTATTTCCCTGTTTGAACTTTTTGAAAATGTATGAAGCACATGATTCTTTTATCACTTGCTATTATTGACTTGATATGTTTGGGCCAAAATTTAACTTTTTTTTAAGGCTGTGTAACTGTTTTGTAAAAAAAAGCTCATAATAATATATAAAATCTTAAATAATTTAATGACCATAGCTTACCTATGAATAGAATGAATTTTATATCCAAATAGAATCTCTGCAACTCCTTAATTAAGAGGGATAAGTATAAAGTAGAATAATAGAGCTTGCATGGAGTTGTAACTACCAAACCCCCTGTCTTCTAGGAGGGAACATATCAAATGATTCATAGCACATTTTTATCTTTAAGACTCCATTTGTCTGTAATTTTATCTTTTATTTTTATTCTTATTTTTCGAGACAGAGTCTTGCTTTGTCGCCCACGCTGGAGTGTAGTGGCATGATCTCAGGTCACTGCAACCTCCACCTCCTGGGTTCAAGCAGTTCTCCTGCCTCAGCCTCCCAGGTAGCTGGTATTACAAGTGCATGCCACCACACCCGGCTAATTTTTGTATTTTGGTAGAGACAGAGTTTCCCTATGTTGGCCAGGCTGGTGACGAACTCCTGACCTCAAGTGATCTACCTGCTTCAGCCTCCCCAAAATGCAGGAATTACCGGTGTGAGCCACTGCACCCGGCCGTAATTTTATCTTTTGCCAACTTAAATGAATACCTAAGAGATAACTGGTATAAAGAGTGCTTTTTGAAAGTTCTCCAGGAAAGGAGATCTATAGCTTCTGAATCTTGCCCATTCGTAGGTTTAATAACTGGAACTACAAAGTTTTAAAGTAAACTTAAAAAAAAAATCCTTCCAGTTTTGACAGCTGAGTAACCCTCCCCCCAGCCTTTTTTTCTTAAAAATTATTATTATTTTTTGAGACAGGGTCTCACTCTGTCACCTAGGCTGGAGTACAGTGGTGTGATCTTGGCTCACTGCAACCTGTGCCTCCTGAGTTTAAGCAATCCTCCCTCCTCAACCTCCCCAGTAGCTGGGACTACAGGTGTGCATCACCATGCTCAGATAATTTTTGTATTTTTTGTAGAGACAGAGTTTCGCCATGTTGCCCAGGCTGGTCTCAATTCTGGGCTCAAGCGATCTGCTGGCCTCAGCCTCTCAAAGTGCCATGATTACAGGCATGAGCCACCGTGCCTGGCTACCTTTTTTTCTGAGTTGAATAATCGTAGTCCCTATAATTTGCCTTTGCAAATTGGATTTTCTATATATTCCATGTCTTTTAAAAAAACTTTCCTTAGCTTCTTTATAGTCTTATGTACTTCATATTTTAATAGGGTCTGACCAGAGCTGAATGTAATTTTCAGCTTCTGATGAGATACTTGTTAATATCCAGTGGTGTGCTTGTTTCTTCAGTACAGTAATTTTCCCCATATTGCTGACTCATAGTCATTTTCTGATCTACAGTTAAGCCAAGATGTTTTTTAACTTGGTCTACGTAATCATATCCCATTATATAACTTTATAGCTTTTTTTTTTCCTTCCTAAGCTCTACTCTATACTTATATTTAGCTTTTTCCTTTTTCTAAAATTTCAAATTTTCTAATATGCATTACTAATCATTCCCATATTAATAAGCATTTAAGTTCATAGTCAAAACAATTTTTTATGTAGCTACATAAATAATAAGAGTTAAGAATTCTTAATAAATCATTAATATGGACTGATAGTTAAGAGTGTGCATATTGGAGCTATACAACTAGTTTAAATCTTGACTGTACCACTTAACAAGCAGTGTAAACTTGAGCAAGTTACATTTAACCTTTCCGTGTCTGTTACCCCGTTTGTAAAATGTAATAATGGTGTCTATCCCATGAGTTTGTTGTAAGAATTTAAATGATGTATTACACAGAAGGCATTTAGAGTAACTCTTGGCACATAATGTATCCTCACTATATGCTAACTATTGTCAGCGTGTGTTAGTCTGCTAATTTCTTTACTTGCATTGTTTGTTTCATTCTTATATCAGCCCAATTAGATATAGGTACATAGTATTATCTCATTTACAGAGCAGGAAGCGGAGGCAGAGATAGGTTAAGTGATTTGCTCGAGGTCTCATAGCTAGTAGGTGATTGAAGTTGGAATTAGAACCCAGCATAATGGTTCCAGTAATGCTGAACGGAGCGTTAGATTCCCATTTGTTCTCATTCCCCGACATAGTTCCCTGGGTTCCAACTAGTTGGTTTCTGTCAATTGACAATATGTCATGGTTTTTAACTGTGAGTATCTGAATTACCTATGAAAGTTCTTTTTTTTTTAGCTGGTTTATTATAAAAATTTTATATAGAAAAAAGAATGGACAAGCATAGTGGCTCATGCCTGTAATCCTAGTATTTTGGGACATTGAGTCGGGCAGATTGCTTGAGCTCAGGAGTTCGTGACCAGCCTGGGCAACATGGTGAAACCCCGTCTCTACAAAAAACGAAAAACAACAACAGCAAAAGCCAAAAATTAGCCGTGCCTGTAGTCCCAGCTACTCAGAAGGCTGAGGTGGGAGGATCACTTGAGTCCAGGAGATTGAGGCTGCAGTGAGCTGGGATAGCACCATTGCACTCCAGCCTGGATGATAGAGCAACACTCTGTCTCAAAAAAAAAAAAAAAAAAAAGAATAGAACAACGAATATTCATGTATCCACCATCTATATTGAATAGTTAATTTCATTTATATATATATATATATATATATATATATATATATATATATATATATTTATTTATTTATTGAGACGGAGTCCGGCTCTGTCACCCAGGTTGCAGTACAGTGTTGCGATCTTGGCTCACGGCAGCCTCCACCTCCTGAGTTCAAGTGATTCTCTTGCCTCAGCGTCCTGAGTAGCTGGTATTATAGATGTGTGCCACTGTGCCTGCCAAATTTTTGTATTTTTAGTAGAGACGGGGTTTCACCATGTAGGCCAGGCTGGTCTCGAACTCCTGACCTCAAGTGATCTGCCAGCCTCAGCCTTCCAAAGTGCTGGGATTACAGGCGGGAGCCACTGCTCCTGGCAGACACTGACTATATATTTAACTATATATTTTTGGCTGAATCATTGTAAATTGCAATAAACCATGATGCTTTACCCCTAAATACTTCAGCTTGTACCCTTCCCAAAAAAAGGACATTTTCTTGCATAATCACTTATCCCACCTAACAAAATAAGGGCTAATTCCCTACGATCATCTGAAACCCAGTCTAGTAGAGGTTTACAAAGTGCAGATGCCAAAGACTAACTCAGAAGGTCTGAGGGTGGAAATTAGAATGTTGTCTTTTTCAGAAGCTTCACAGGGTTGGAGCACAGGCAGAATGAGAAACTGCTTTAGATTAGGAGTTCTTTTAGGAGAGAGTTGATGTCTCATACCTGCTTTAGCCACCTTAGTGCTTAGTACAGGTTGAGTATCCCTTATCTGAAATGCTTGAGACTAGAAGTATTTCAGATTTCAGATTTTTTCAGATTTTGGAATATTTGCAGAATGCATAATGGTCGAGCATCCCTAATCCGAAAATTCAAAATGTTCCAATGAGCGTTTCCTTTGAGCATCATGTTAGCACTCAGAAAGTTTCAGATTTTGGAGCCTTTTGGATTTTGGGTGCTCAACCTGCATAAGGAACATAATAGGAACTTGATACCTTTCAGTCTCCCTCCTCCCCCAAATTATTACAACATCTTCATAGTGCTAGGCTTCCATTTGTTTTTGTTTTTGTTTTTGTTTTTGTTTTTTCCTGGAGACAGGGTCTCACTTTGTTGCCCAGGCTGGAGTGCAGTGGCACAATCTCAACCTCCCAGGCTCAAGTGATTCTCCCACGTTAGCTTCCTAAATAGCTTGGACTACAGGCGACCACCACCATGTCTGGGTAATTAAAAAATTTTTTTTTTGTAGAGACAGGGTCTTGCTATGTTGCTCAGGCTGGTCTCGAAGTCCTGGGCTTAAGTAATCCTCTCACCTCAGCCTCCCAAAGTGGTGGGATGACAGGCGTGAGCCTCTGTGCCTGGCATGTTTGGTCTCAACTTTGTGATTAAAACCTGAAATGTTTCCTAGTTGTACCTTTACCTTTTGGTGCTTGAATTTTGTTAAAGATCAGTATTTCTGGGCATTTAAAGAGATTTGTTAATTTTTTAAATGCTTTTGCTAAGAGTCTCTTTTTGCCGTAGGACCTTAGAGCTTTTGGTTGTAACGAGACAGGGCAGGCTGGAAGTTAGTAAATGTTTCCCTTATTGACAACCCCAACTTTTCTCTTATTGTAGTTATCCATCTTGGTGCATCCTGACAAAAATCAAGATGATGCTGACAGAGCACAAAAGGCTTTTGAAGGTATTTGTAAATTTACCTGCTTCTGAGTATTAGATTGTGAATGGCAGGGCCTAACTGTTCCTTGTCCTAGATCAAGCAAAGACTGTTATAGTTTTGTCTTCTGGTCACCAAGAAGCTGTGGTTTTCAGTAGAGCAGTTGCCATTTCAAAGCAGAATGTTGTTGTTTAAGAAGTAGACCTTAACTTTGCTTTGTTAAAACTTTTATATGCCAACAAAGACTGTTATTGCATAGGATCATTTTTTTTCTTTGAACATAAAGAATTTTATCACTGAATTAAATCCAGATGTAGTGTATTTAGCCTTGAGTATATATTTAATTTTTTCCAAGGCTCTTAAGGAAAGTCATTGCTATAGTTGAATGTTTTTTTTAACTTAGTTTAACGACAGTAAATAATTAAAGTAGGGAATGCTTTAGAGAGCACAAGTCCATTTACACTGCCTGAGTATAGTTCAGACTTTCAGAGGGTGTTTGCAGAAACAGTTAATTTCAATGTTTTGCATTAGCTGTGGACAAAGCTTACAAGTTGCTACTGGATCAGGAGCAAAAGAAGAGGGCCCTGGATGTAATTCAGGCAGGAAAAGAATACGTGGAACACACTGTAAGTATTTATAGTGCTGCTGTGTTTACAGGAAGTATCAGCAAGCCTTGGGCACCTTGTAGAAGGGTACATATGAACATAGTAATGCCTACTGGCACAACCTGTGGCTACTTCTGTGCTCTCTACCACTTTGCTGTGGTGGTCATGAATAGTGTGTGCCTGAAGCTGTAATTCACCCCTAAGAGAAGAACTCAGATGAGGAGTAGCTGGTACACTGCTCCTACCTCTTTCCCTACCAGTCCTGTGTTGGGGAGAAAGGGTTGTTCTCTCCCTCTCATCACATATTGCCACTTACCCCATTCTTAGAGTGGAAACGTGGAGCAGCCTGTGACTCTTGACTCTTGATTTTTATTCTTGTCCCTGTGAAGGGTTTGCAACAAGGCTTGGCAAAGGCTAGCAAGAGGATAGGCGTAAACTTTTTTTAAAATAGGAGGAGGTTTATGTCCATCTTAATAACAGAGTTGGGAAGAACTCAGTTGAAGGAAACTGAGTTGTAGCTGGTGTTATTTTTGTTTGCTCTTGAGGGCATACATAAGTCTCCAATGTGGTGGGAAATGTCAGTATGGCTTTCCCAAGGTAAGAAAGGTCTTTTAACTTTTTACTTGCTGGGGCAAGAATCTTGAGGTCATTTGTAAGAGCTGCTTCAATTGTGATTGGATGACTTTTCACATGAAGAGCTTTGAAATCTGAGACAACTTTATAACCATAATAATGAATCCAGTTTCGGTGAGGAAAATGGATAAGAAGAGGAGACAAAGGGCCCATAACTATATCCTGCGGGTCATGTGTTGGAAATGGCACTTGTAGGCCCTATCCTGGTAGAAATAGGGAAAGTGCCTGACAGTTTCTCCTTAAATCATTGTGGCTTCGTATGTCTTTCACCTGTAAGAAAGTCATCCTTAGGCTTCCTGACCACAGGGTGGCAGTAGGGCCTTTCTGAGCTTAGAGGGTACTTGGCCTTTGCTGGTATAATAGACTGGTTAGTTCATGGAGTAGTGTCATTCTTGTATGAATTCGTATATTTATTTATTTATTTTTTATCTCAGTAGTGGCCAATGTGATAAAAGTATCAGTTAATATGATATGTGGTTTAAGGAGGTTCCATGGTGAAAGTGATCAAGAATGCAGTTATAGAAATGCCAGAAAAACTACTTGGACATAATGCCACAGATTCTGTAGCTTCTTCTAAAACTTGACAGATATATTTGCTTTGCTCTAAACACATAACCACAAGCCAAGAAAGGTAAATAAGTAGTCTGTTTCAAAGACTTTTTGGATCTGATGAGTTGGGGACAACCTCCCGTTGGTCCCCTTTCATCTTTCATTCTTCCTGGTAGATTGGATTTTAGATGAGATTAGAAAAAGGACTTGTGGTTCCTAATTTTCCTTGATTCTGTTGTTCTTTTGAGGAGGGAGGGGAGGGGCTCTTTTTTTTTTTAATGAAAACTTTTTGCTATACCCGTGCCTATAGAAAGTTAAATATATTGTATGTGTACAGCCCAGTGGATATTCTCAAAGCACAGATGCTCGTCTTTTGATGAAAAAAAATTCTTTTTAGGTGAAAGAGCGAAAAAAACAATTAAAGAAGGAAGGAAAACCTACAATTGTAGAGGAGGATGATCCTGAGCTGGTGAGTTAAATATAGGAAAAGCCACTGTATCTTGTGTGATTGTGTCTACGAATTGGTGGGTTACAGAGACAGAAGCCAAAAGAATGATGAATATATGCTATTTCACATTTATTTATTTATTTATTTATTATTTTTGAGACTGAGTTTCACTCTTGTTGCCCAGGCTGGAGGGCAATGGCGCGATCTCGGCTCACTGCAACCTCTGCCTCCTGGGTTCAAACGATTCTTCTGCCTCAGCCTCCCAAGTAGCTGGGATTACCAGCATGTACCACCATGCCCGGTTAATTTTGTATTTTTAGTAGAGATGGGGTTTCTCCATGTTTGTCAGTCTGGTCTCGAACTCCTGACCTCAGATGATCCGCCTGCCTTGGCCTCCCAAAGTCCTGGGATTGCAGGCTACAGGCATGAGCCACCCTGCCCGGCCTCTGGCTAATTTTTTTGTATTTTTAGTAGAGACGGGGTTTCATCATGTTGGCTAGGCTGGTCTTGAACTTCTGACCTCAGGTGATCCACCCGCCTCGGCCTCCCAAAGTGTTGGGATTACAGGCATGAGCCACCGTGCGCGGCCTAATTTTTATTTTTTAAAAAAACATTTTATTTGGCTGGGCGCAGTGGCTCACGCCTGTAATCCCAGAAATTTGGGAGGCCGTGGCGGGTGGATCATGAGATCAGGAGTTCGAGACCATCCGGGCCAACATGGTGAAACCCCGTCTCTACTAAAAATACAGAAATTATCTGGGCGTGGTGGCACGTGCCTGTAATCCCAACTACCCGAGAGGCTGAGGCAGGAGAATTGCTTGAACCTGGGAGGCAGAGATTGCAGTGAGCCAAGATCGCGCCACTGCACCTCCGCCTGGTGACATAGCAAGACTCTGTCTTAAAACAACAACAACAACAACAACAACAACAAACATTTTATTTGAACTTAAAACATATAAATATACATTTATTTATGTATTTGTTTGAGACGGGGTCTTACTCTGTTGCCCAGGCTAGAGAGCAGTGGTGCGATCTCAGCTCACTGCAACCTCTGCCTCCCAGGTTCAAGTGATTCTCCTGCCTTAGCCTCCTGAGTAGCTGGGATTACAGATGCCCGCCATCAAGCCTGGCTAATTTTTGTATTTTTAATAGAGACGGGATGTCATCATGTTGGTCAGGCTGATCTCAAACTCCTGACCTCAAGTGATCTGCCCTCCTCGGCCTCCCAAAGTGCTGGGATTACAGGCGTGGACCACCGCACCTGGCCCAATTTTTTTCAGTTGTTTTTTTTTTTCCTGATTATAAAAGAACACATGCTAATGATAGAAAATTTGGAAAAAGAGAAATATAAAAAATATAAAATCGCAGTGTCTGTCTATCCCGTGTATGGAGCTTTTAAATATACTGAGCTATTCATTACAGACTCCTTTATCCCTTTGATGTTTGTCTTTATTAGGGACTGGGGTTGAAGCATTGCTTTTAGTGAGCAGTGTCTAGCAGGTAACAGGATAAAAGAGAAGTCACAGAGATTTAGGGACTTCTTTATTTTCCTTTCTCTCCATATATCACTCTTTGCTCCAGTGTCTGATTTTAGAATTTAGGCACTATTAAATATGCATGACAGATTACTTTTGTACTTCCATGTCTATTTAAAATACTTTATATCTGGAGAAAAATATTTAAAGGTAGAATAACATAAGCTGTGTTCTTAAGAACTCTTGAAAATAAAGAATTAAAAACTGGTAGGGAGGGCATTGTGATTTCATTAACTTAGTGTGACAGGGGCTGGGTCACTTACGTTCACTTATTTTTTTGTAATTCTTTTTAGAGATAGGGTCTCCCTTTGTCACCCCGGCTGGAATATAGTGGCATGATCTTAACTCACTGCAGCCTTGACCTCCTAGGCTCAAGTGATCCTCCCACCTTAGTGGATATTATACATTCTAATAATAACCTCTGGTGGCTCATACCTATAATCCAAGTGCTTTGGGGGCTGAAGTAGGAGG